>NC_000020.11:30608987-30761898 GCF_000001405.40 Homo sapiens
CTGGTTCACTTTACCCTTTCTACAGCTCTAAAGCTCTGGCAGGTGGGACCTAAGCATAAGAGAAAGTGATATTATGCAGAACTCTCTTGACTTCAAGTGAGTCCTTGACTCACTTAACCTAACCCGATCCAGCAGAACATTGAATTATTTGTCTATCACAACTAAAAATATCCAGGAGTAGATGGCTTCTGGCTCAGTGGGATCAGGGGTCAGCTAATTTCAACCAAGACTCATTCCGTCCCTTCATTTCCTGGGCCAGCTCTGCTTTTCAGAGAGGCTATTTTGAGAGAGCAGCAAAAATGGCCCCATATATTTCTTATCACTTACTTCCTTGCAAGTAGCTATTCCAATAAAAAGAAAGCACCCTATTCAAGGCCGTTTCATCAAAAGTGCAGGGATGGCTTCCATGAGCCCAGCTTGGATCACATGCCCATCCCTGAATGAATTACCCTGCTGATCTGATTGCCGAGGGTAGGTCAGCCCTTCCCAAAGCACATGGACTAGAAATGGAATAGTGGTCCTCCCATGAAAAAAAAAAAAAAAAAAAAGAAAGAAAGACAGCATAGTGGGAAAGGAATATGGATGGGATGGTCTCATCTCTATATAAAAAGTATGACCGTATTGGTGGTCTTTTGCACACTCATTTATATAGTCACTGGGAAAAAAATTGAGAAAAACTCACACATGAGTTTCTATATGCCTCTGTGCTTTGTTTTCAACACCAAGCTGTGATAAATTTAATTATTAAAACAAAACTTTGAAAAGAAATAACAATTTGGACAATGGGGACACTTAGCTGATGCAGCACAGGTGAGCAGTTCTTCTTTTGTGCCCAGGAAGACACAATTCCCAGGAGCCCACCTGTGGTCTCCTAAGACAAGCATGCAGACTGCCCACAGGCTGCAGTTCCACCTTTCCTTTCCTGGACTCTTAGGAATAAACAAGTTCTGAATTCAGCTGACCTGAGTTCAAATTCAGGCTCTCTGACTCACTGGGTAAGTCTCTTGCTCTCCTTGAGTCCCATATCCTCCTTGGAAAAATGGAGGGGTAGAGTTGTTACGTTTTGAAGGCAAGGCGAGGGTTAAAGAAAGACAGAGAGAGACAGTTGGCGGCTTCAACAGCAACACTTTTATTGCCAACAAAACCCTGAGGAGGGGTGAACCAGCTTAGTGCCAGCGCCAACTGCCGCTCACAGGCTGAGGTAATCATGGGATGGGAGGGAGGGGTCTGGGTGGTAGAGCTTGCTGCCCAGCAGGAAACGGCAAGGATGTCCCTGCAGTCAGGCTGTTGGACCTTTGCCTGGGAGGATGCGATAAGGATGTTCCTGCAGTCATGTGGTTAGGAAGGATGTTTCTCACAGCCCGAGTTCCCATGGAATGTTTCACTGTGACCAGGGTCTGCAAAATGGCTGGGGGTTTACAAAATGGTACAGGTTAGGCTAACAGTAACATCTCCCAGGTAAACAGTTCTTCAAAGTAAACTTCCCCTTAGCATTTACACTGTAGTAGTAGACATGGTGCCAGGACCCAGGCCACAGGACGAACAGGACAGATGAGGCCCCTGCCATCCTAGTGTTCATGTCTGATGAAGGAAGCTAACAGGTCATAAGACCAAATCAGATGGTGGTGGTAATCAAAGACATTACCAGAGTGAGAAGAACTAGAAACAAACTGAGGAAGCTGTTCCAAACACAGTGAAAGGGAGAGACCCCTCGAAGAGGTGACTTTTGAGCAGAAACCTGAAAGATGTGGAGGAGGCAATGGAGAAGGACCAGCCCCTGGAGCCATCCCAGCAGTAAAGACCCAGCACCAGGTGGGCAATTGAATGTCCTGACCTGTGTGTCCTTCATGCTTCCTTCCTCAGTGGTGCACAAAGGGAAACATGGGGTAATTTCACGCAGGGTCCATGGAGGAATCAAGAAGCAGCTGCGCTGCAGAGCTGGGGTGGGGATGAAATCTGGCCCAACAGTGAAGCTAGAAGCAGGTGCATGAAGCATAACCAGCCCCTGAAGTCACATCCATGGCCAGACCAGCTGGCCGGGCTGCCAACATCTTAGTAGAGATCCCTGGAAATCAGATGAGCTGGTTAGGGGGGTAATAAAAAAGCTGGAAAGCTTCAGAAAATTCCAGAGGACACATGACACTTAGCATGAACTTTCCCCGAGTGGGATCTGTTTGGCATTGCTGGTTCTAAAGAGTCGGTACCACCACTCCCACCTGCCCATTACCCCACCAGGGAAACACTCAGGGTACAGTCCACAGAAACAATCCCTGTGGAATTGAAAAGGGTGTTTCTCATCCCAAACCAAGGGAGGGGACCCAGAAAACCACTCATAAAGAGCAGAGGGGCCTGCTGGGAGAGACAGGGTTCTGCTGCTCATTTGGGTATCTGCTTCCCAGCGGGAAAGGGGACCATGCAGGATAGAGCGGCTAAGGGGAACCTGGGCTGTCGGGCCAGGAGAGCCGGTGCTGACTCACTGTTGGAGGTGAGCCACAATAGGAGGCTTAGAAACCCTCCCGGCAGCCTCTCCAGTCTAATAAGGGGATGGTAGTGTTGGTCAGTAGGGGCATCCAGACGCAGTCAAAGGGCAAGAGAGTGATGTCTCCTCTGGCGTCCCCTTTCAGCTGCAGATTCTCCCTATGAGTTCCTGAGAAAGCTTCTCTATGGCTCCACAAGACTGGGGGGTGGTGACAGTTCCCAGATGACCCTAACCCCAGGGCCTTGTGCCATCCCTCCTCGTTCCCCCTGATCCTGCCCACGCCGTTGTAAACAGCTCCTTCTTAATGGCCCGTCAGCTGATGAGAGTTTCCTGCCAGCACCTGACTGCCACACTGCTTTGCCAAAGGGACCAGGCTCCTCGGCACAGGAGCTGAGGTTCTACAGGCACAGAGAAAACACTGTCTGAACGTTGGAATGGAGTCGGGAGCGGAAAAAAGAATGTTTGTTCTCAATGCTTACACTTACCAATTGTTTCCTTTTATCACATGAAGACTGTGTGTCATTTTGAAGTAGAATTAGTAATCTACATAATTACAAATTATGTTCTTAAAATAAACTGCTCAGTGCCATGCTTGACACAAGGTGGAACTCCATTATGAGATGTGTGAGAAACCAGGGTGCCATGGTTACAGACAAGGACACTAGGTGCAGACTGCTTGCTTCAAACCTGGACAAGCAGAACGAATTTCGGCAACTCTCTTGTATTGCTCTTTGCCCCAGTTTTTTTCACCTAAAAACTAAAAGTAAAAACAAGGTTATTGTGAAAATTAAATGAATTAAAGTAAGCAAAGTACCTACAACAACACCCCGAGGCACAGTCAGCCCTGAGCATGTTTTTCATTATTACTCTTAATGAGGTAAGAATGAGAACACAGGCACCAACCATGAGCCTCTGGCACAGGCATCAGAGACCAAATTTTTAACAGCCTCCATTCATTCATTTGACCCTGATAAGAGAGAAGTCTCATGCCAGAGGAGCAAGCATCCACCTTGGGACCAGACAGCCTATGGTCAAAGTTGAACTCCACCACTGTTCAGCTGTGTGACTTTGGGCAAGTGACTTTCCCTCTCTGATCCTCAGCACAATCACAGGTCTATGAGGATTGTAGGAGCTGACTGAAAAATGTGTGTCTTAGTTTGAGTTTCCTGGAAGTAGATCCAGAGGAAAAGATTCAGATACAAAAATTTTGTTTGGAGATGACTCTCGGACAGTAATTCTACTGCCAGTTCTTCCTTAGGGTGGTAATCCCAGGAAACACCAGAAGAGGAGTGGGGAACTGAGACAGGAAAGGAATGCAGCAGTTAAAGGGACCTTCATCAGGAAAGTTTCCACTGTGGCAGCCAAGACTCAGCCCTGCCAGGTACTTCTGAGAGACAGCACAGAACATGTATCTCAGAGTCATCCCACCAAAAGCAAGGGAGCTGGGATATTTATCCACCAATACCCACCAGTCACTCCTCAGGGCTCCTTCCAAAGACATGATTCCTCCTGAACGCCCTGCCTGCACTGCAAGGGTTAGACCTTGGGTTGAGGGCAGGGGAGCTGACAACACCTCCAGCAATGAGCAGGAACACAGGCTGGTGTGGACTGTTTCAGTCACTCAGTGACTCCAACACACACACACACACACCCCACACTCCAACACCAATACAGGGCATATGTACATACACATACATGCATACATGACTGTTACCTGCTTCAATCCTGGTGAATCCATGGGATCGATGATAAGGTGGGAATCAGAGGGAAGAGCAAAATAAAGGGGAGTGAAGGTCTTAGGAACAAAATGCAAATATAGGCAGAAAATCAAGGGGGAAGAGGAGTGGTCTGGACACCAAATGCTGGCTGGGTGCCACCTGCTCTACATTCACTGTCAGGCATTCCCCAAGCAGCTTTGTGAGGTAGAAGAAATTCCCCTCAATTTACAGGTGGCAGAAATGTAGTTCAGAAAAGAAAACTGATTTTATTAATGTCTTACAGAGTTAGTGGGTGATAGATATGTTTCTGTCCACAAAGCCTACAAATTTTCCTCATTATGCAGGCTGGGTACCAGGCCTTGCTTCTGGGCTCTGCTACTTTTCCTGCTAGGCAATCATGGCAGAATTGACAAAAACATTTTCCCCCTTCACCACCTGGAGCAGAGCCAATGAGAAGGGCTGGAGAACAGGCCATGAGGCCCTGCACTCACCATTCAATGTCTTCAGGACTGTGGTCCCTCAGGACTCTTGCACCATGTTCTAGCAGCACTCCTGGTGTCTGGGGGTCTTGTGAGGTTGTACAGGATCCAGTAGAGGCCACTGGCTGTGCTGTCATATTCTAAAGGTGGCCAGGCAGGTTTGTGTCTCTTGGCTGCTTCAGTACCAGAGGATGGAGAGTGCCAACGCAGTGAGGCCCTCGGTAGAATGGGAGGAGGGAAGGAAAGGGCAGAATGGAGTGATGTAGGGTCCATCCACCATGTCCCTGGATGGAGAGACCCCTGTTCTCATAGTAGCCCCACACCAGGACCACCACTGGCATTCATGAACAGGCCAGCCTCCATTTACACGTCCTCATCTGACAACTCCTTCCCATTTTCATCCTGGAGACAAGACCTCTGAACACACTAGCTCTGAGGGCACCTGATTGTAACCTGAGACAGTCTCTGGAGACTGTTCATCCAAGCAGGATCCCTCCCTTGCCATCTCCAGACCTCCCCCACAAGCTCCCTCCCTGGTCTGCTCTTGTTCACTCATTCCAGTCAGCCTTCTACAGTCATCTCTAACACGTATCTGACTGGCCCCTCCTTTATCCAGCACCTTCCATGGCTCCCCAAAGCACTCCAGATCAAGTTCAAGTTCTTTGATCGGACAGTTGATCTCAAGCTGCATTCTACCTCCTGAATTAAGATCCCGGAGAAGCCCACTTGCTCAGGATGATGGTGTCTGAAGTTGTGCACCAAGTCACAGGCCTTGTAGAAGCATCACCCCTCAGGAATGGGTACACTGGCGGCAATATAGTCACTGGATTCCTGCAGGGTGAGGCTGGGGAGAGGAAGTAGCTCCATAACACATATGAAACCCTGGAAACCCTTCCCAGCAAAAATCTCAGGACCACGTTACATGCAGAAATGGGTGCCCTCTGAGCACACTTCTCTCTGCCTCCCACTCTGAGCTCCCTCCAGGCCCCACATGCCCCATCCTGGACCAGGGCTTGGAGCCAGCAGGTGTTCAGTCCATGGTATTGACTGCTTCCTGGGCCAGGAGAGCCCTTGGTGGCTCTGTGACTCCTCCTGTGGAACCCCTGACTCTGCCTTGGGACCTCCCAATTCCCGTGGGAAGCCCCCATGGCTATGGATTGCCACACCTGCCCTGGGATCCTCCAACCCCATAAGACTTACTTAATGCCTTAGCCCTCCTAGAATATGACGTGTTTCTCAGAAGGTGACTTATCTCCAGGGCCATCTCTGGATGTTTGCTGGGGACCTCTTACTGTTCTCCTTTCTGATCTGCAGGGCAGGGCCCAGAGGAGAAAGCAGCCCAACCGCAGAATGAACAAAGGGCTCACTGCCACAAACAACAAGCACCAGTCAGCAGTGCTTCTGGAAGGAAAGGAGGTTTCATTCTGCAGAAAGCTCCTTGTTTGGCTTCTTTCTGAAGCCAGGAAGGGGTACTAAGCCCAGCTTACCTGTGGTGCCTACGTTACCATCTGTGCCTAGGATGTGCAATGGGCCCTTGCTCCCACTGCAGGGTTGACGTTCCCTCCAGCTGGAGACCTGGTCTCCTGACATCGCCTGGCCTGTTTGTCCTGCTCTGGATGAGCGTGGAAAGTCTGTACCTGGTATTTTCCTAGGTCCTTGGTTTACACCTTCTAGATATCCAGCAGGATTGACCTTGCCCAGCCCCATACCTGAAAGGGGTCTCCCTTGAGGAGCAGCCGAGGACCGGGACTCCCCTCCCACGATTCAAAGAGTGGATGAGTGCTCAGCGTCGGGAAATCTGATCTAGACCTATTTTTTCATTTAGGTCACCAAGAGACAACCCCTAACCCCTGAGCTAGGGATGGTGCCAGCTCTGGCATGAGATTCTCTTCCAGCAATGTGATGCTTGCAGGGACAGGCCGAAACCTGGTGACCAGGTCTGCTGTCCTCTGGGTAAGGACAGTGTGCTACTCAACCTCAGAGAGACAGGTGGTGCCAGGACACAGCACTGGGTGCCTGTACCCCTGGCTCTGCAGATATCAGTCATGGAGTTCCTGCCCTCTCCACATTACCTTCTTGCTGCTCCTAGATTTCTTCTAGTCATTAAGCACTTCCAGTCATTTTTCTGTGCATCCAATCTGACATTTTTGTTGTCAGATGAAACACAATAAAGTAAGCTGAGCCACCAGGATTCCTGGAGGGGACCTTGGATGCTGGGTCTTGGGCTCCAGGGCCCTGATGGGACTGAATCAGAAGTAGCCAGGGAAGGATAAACACTGGGGCTGAGCCCCTATGACACAATGGCCATTGTTGGCCTGGCCTTATGGCCCCAAGACACACTGTCCTCAGGCCACAGGCACCATGGGTTTTGGTCAGGTCCCAGCCTCCCAATAGTGTCCTGGCACTAGCAGGTGCTGACCCCTGAGCCACAACCACAGTTCTGGGTTTGGGATTTAGTAAAACCACCTCAGGGGCAGAGTTCTGGGGCTGGGTTTGGCAGGAACTATGGTGACTCCCAGGGATGGTGTGTCACTTCTACTTGCCACCAAATGTGCACATAGGCTGTCCCCCAAGACCAGCTCATCCTACTGGACAGAATGGAGGAAGTCAGGGAACAGGCAGAGTGGACAGCTGGGGTGCAGGCAGAGGCAGGTGCATGCTGGGAGGTCAGGCCCTGTGAGGGCTGCGGGGATGTCAGGTGGAGTGGATTCCAGGTGCACCCTCAGTGCACTCAGCAGGTCTCAGTCCAGGCCCTCTGGACCATGGCTGGGTGATGTGGTCACTCCCTGGGGTACTACTGTCAGACCCTGGCCACCCACCCTGGGAAGCACCGTCCCATCCCAGGACTGGACTTTCTGAGTCCTGAGACAGGACAGTGCTGTCCAGGCCTGACAGACTGGGAGAACCTGCCAAGTCCTCCATCCCTAGAACAGCCTCCCACACAGCAAGGACAATCTCTTACCTTCACCTTCAGGGCACTAACTGATCCTTCTCACTCTGAGGCAACAAAGGCAGAGCTGAGGACCTGCACCAGGCTGGGAGCCAGTCCCCTCCCTAAGTGGGCCTGAGGGAAGCACCATCCCTGTCCCAATCCGCCACTAGTTTCCACCCAGGAGACACATAGGGAAGGGAGGAGGGGGCCTACCAGCTGGCTGATACTGGAAAAGTGGGACCTGGGAGAAGAGGGAGTGCAGGGCTGGCAGGGGATGCTCCAGGCCCATGGAGAGCTCGGGCTGCACCATGGTGCTGCCCCTCCTGGGCTGGAGGCTGTGCCCTCTGCAGGAACTGAGAAAGTCCAATCCTGAGATGGGACAACACTGCCCAGGGTGGTTGGCCAGGGCCTGACAGTAGTCCCCCAGGGAGTGACCACATCACCTGGCTGGGGTCCAGGGAGCCTGGGGTGAGACCTACCCAGTGCACTGAGAGTGCACCTGGAGCCCACCTCACCTGATGCCCCCACAGCCCTAACAGGGTCTGACCTCCCAGCATGCACCTGCCTCTCCCTGAACCCCAACTGCCCACCCTGCCTGTTACCTGGCCTCCTCCATCCTGTGCAGCCCATAGACTGTGACCATCTCTCCAGCCACTCTGGCCCTTCCTTTACCGTTGTCCTCTCAGAATCTCTGAGCAGGATCTCCCAGGTCCATCCAAACACATGCTTTGTCCACTTTTGACTGGGCCCTTGGGTACCACTGGGCTACCCCAGCTGTCCACAGGGCCTTCAATAATGCACATTGCACCTGGCTTATCCAAGCAGTGCTCAGTAGCCCACATTGACCAGGTCCCTGCTGACCAGACCCTGCAAATCAGGTCCTCCCTGATGACACCCTCACTGATTAGACCCTCATGACCAGACCCCACTAACAAGGCCCCCACTGCCAGGCACACAATGACAAGGACTCCACTGACCAGGACCTTACTGACAAGGCCTCACTGACAAGGCCTCAAGGACCAAGTCCTTACTGACAAGTCCTCACTGACTAGGTCATTATTGACAAGGCCTCACTGATCAGGTTCCACTGATCATGACCTCATTCCCTGGCCCCAAAGATGAGGCCCCACTGACCAGGCCTCCAGGGAACAGGTTGCCACTGATCAGGCCGCTACTAACCAGGCCTAAGGTCACCAGATGCCCCTGACTGGGACCCTAGTGAGTAGACCCCACTGAACAGGCATGTAATGCTCAGATCCCTGCTGACCAGGTCACCCTGTAGACCAGTGCTACAAAAGTCACCACTGACAAAGTCCTCTCTGACCAGGACCCTACTGATTAGGTCCTACTGACAAGGCTGCCCTGACCAGGGACCCACCGACAAGGGCCTCACTGATGAGGACACGCCCACCAGGCTCTGCTGACTGGGTCCCATGTGCCCAGTCCTCCACTGAATAGCACCCCTTGACCTGTCACCAGTGCCCCAGCCCATGCTGACCAGGCCAGCACTAAGTCCCAGATGACCAGGTCTCCACTGATCAAGCCCCACAGCCCAGGTTTGCACTGACCAGACACCAAACATCTGGCAGCCAATAGGTCCCCACTCACCAAAACCCCTAAAACTTGATCCCACTAATAAGACCCTCTCTAAGCAGACCCCTGCTGACCACGATCCCACTAAATAGGCCTCACTGACCTACCACTGACCAGGCCCACAATGATCAGGCTCCTCCTAACCACACCGGAAATCCAAGCGGCAATGATATGTTTCATATGGCAGAAGTTGGAGCAAGACAGAGAGACGAAAGAGGTTCCACAGCCTTTTAAACTACTAGATCTCATGAGAACTCACTCACTATCAGGAGGATGGCATTAAGGTCTTGGTGCTTTACCATTTGTGAAGGATCTACTCCCACCCCTTTATGATTAAAGCTTTCTCCACCTAGGCCCCGACTCTAACATTAGGGAGTGTATTTTCACATGAGTTTTGGAAGGGGCATAGAGAAAAACCGTATTATTCTGTCCCTGACACCACAAATCTCATGTCCTTCTCACATTGCAAAATACAGTCATGCCTTGCCAGCAGTCTCCCAAAGTCTTAACTCGTTTCAGCATTAACTCAAAGTTACAAAGTACAAAGTCTCATCTGGGTCAAGGCTACATTCTCTTTTTCCTACGAGTCTCTGAAATAAAAAGCAAGTTCACTGCGTCTAAAGTAAAATGATGGTACAGGCATTGTGTAAGCTTTCCATATCCAAAAGGAAGACATTTTCCAGAAATCTTCTTATTTTTATCTAGGCCCCCTCAGCCTGGCCTTCACTGTCCATGTTTCTGTCAACATTCTTGTCACAACCATTTAACCAGTCTCTAAGATGGCCCAAAAATGTTCTCATCTGTCTGTCTTCTTTTGAGCCTTCCAAACTCTTCCAACCGCTAACCATTACCCAGTTCCGAAGCCGCTTCCACATTTTTAGGTATCTTTATAGCAAAGCTCCAGTCCTCATTTGCCATTTTTGGTATGATTTATTTTGAAAAAGAGGTTTAATTGGCTCATGGTTCTGCAGGGTGGACAGGAAGCACAGTGCTTCTGCTTCTGGGGGGTCTCAGAAATCTTTCAATCATTGCACAATGCAATGAAAGAGCAAATTGTCTCACAATGCAAGAGGAAATCACGGAGAGTAGGGAGTGATATAGAGTTTTTAGTGGCCAGATCTCACGAGGTCACTCATGATTGTGATGAGGACAGTACCAAGGGGATGGTGCTGAACCATTCATGAGAAGTTTGCCTTCATGATTCAATCACCTTATACCAGGATCCACCTCCAACATTAGGAAATATAACACAACATGAGATGTGGTGGGGACACATATTCAAATTGCATCATCAGTCTTTGAGTATAAAGACATCCACAGCAGGCTTTATCCAGCCAGCTTCTTTGAGACTTTTTATAGGACTTGAGGTCTATAGCATATCCACTAAAATATTCCTACTTCAAAAGGCAATAAAGTAAGTGGTATTATCATTCTTCAAAAAGTTACCATGGTAGTGTAGGCATTCATAGTATGACTTAGTTCATTTGCTGCTGTTTCTATTCTATCACCATATTAACACTATCCTACACAATTCTATATTCAGCTGGGTTTCACTTGAGCACAAAATCATCCTTGTACTACCACCGATAGCTGGCACTAGCTCTTTGATACTGTTATCATTCTGCTGTAGAAAGTACCTGTGAACTGGAAAAAGTTCACAATCGAATAACTAGTTATTCAACACTATCAAATTTTAGGTGACTTTTTGAAAAAATAGTATCTCTTGTTGCAAGAAATGCTCCATCTGTGATTTCAAGTCTCTCACTTGAGTGAATTGGATGGAAGTGGTGAATTTCAGCCAAAGTGGCCAAAGAAATCCTGTTCCTGTGATAATGACACCATCAGCCTCTGTACCTCTGTCTTCCCTTCTGCCACATGTTGCCTGTTGTCCGTGACTTTGGTAAGAGCTTCCTTGTGTACGAGGATGATGTCCAGGATGTTGGTCTGGTGTCCCTGAGACAGCACTAACAGGTCCATGCCTGGGTCCAGGTCCTTCCTGGACTGATTGGCAAAGAGCTCACTGATGTTCTTGAAGGCATCTCTGCTTAAGTGGATGGCCTAGTCAAGCTCCAAGGCCTGGCTGAGGCTGAAGAAAAACTGGCCGCCTTCTGAAGCTCTTTCTAAAAGCCTGTCACTGTCATCTGCTTGCATGTCAACTCATTGGCTGTGAGGTTGAGCTGAGTGGCCTGTGTCCATCTTCTTGGGGAAGCATTTGAAGCCATCAATCTTGCTCTCCCACCCCTAAAGGTTGATGGTCCCCACCTGGGGGTGTGCTGAGGGTCAGAAAGAAGCCAGCACTCACCATCTCATCCTTCTCAGCCTTCCTCTTGCACTCTCTCCAGGCTGTCTCTTCAGTGCTGGTGGGATACATCAGAAAGTGATGGAAGATGTGGCACTGTGCCCACACCCAGAAGCTGGCCATGTGGTTGGCTCATCCACCAGAATGGACGCTCTGGTTGCTCTTTGAGCCAGCTTGGCCTTGACTGGCATGCACAGGCCCCAGGTATAGATACGTTGCTCTGAGTGAACTTCTCCTGCCTTGGGCCAAATTCTGTCAGGCCAGTCCCACGGGTGGTAATCCTGGCTGTTTTCTGCACTTCAACATAAAGACCTCCTGAAGATGGCCTGTGGTCTGCCTCTTTGCAACCAAGAAGCCCGCAGTGCCATATGAGCCCTGAGGCATGGACTGGAGCCCCTGAGGCAGCACACACCCTGCTCCTGAGCCTGCTGCTCAATTTCTCTGTGTGGCTCCATTTGTGTCACAGTTGTTGCACTGACTTGTGCATGCCGGGGAAGGCCAAGCTGGCTCAAAAAGCAACCGACCACCTCTGCAAGGGTGTGCCTGGAGCTGGTGGACCAGCCACCAACCTGACTTGCTGCCGGTCGGGGTACATCAGTTCTTCTACCCTACAGGTAGGGCCACAGTGTTATCTGCTTTTCCTCAGGCCTCTGCTCCATCAGCCATCAGGAGGCAGCCCCTCAGGCTATAGGAATCTGGCCATCCCTGCTTCCTTGAGTGGGTGAGGTTGGTGGCTGCTCCACCTGCTCCAGGCACACCCTTGCAGAGGTGGCTGATTCCTCTTTGAGCCAGCTTGGCCTTGCCTGGCATGCACAGGCCCCAGCTACCTATATGCTGTTCCAAGTCAGCTTGTACTGTGTTGGGCCAAATTCTACCTCTGGCCAGGGCCACAGAAGGCCGAGTCCCCTGGGTGCTAATCCTGGCTGCTTTCTGCACTTGAACATAAAGTCTTCCTCAAGACCGCCTGTGGTCTGCCTCTTGGCGACCAAGAAGCCTACAGTGCCATACAAGCCCTGAGGCATGAACTGGAGCCACAAAGGCAGTGCACGCCCCATTCCTGAGCCTGCTGATCATTTCCTCTTTATGGCTCCATTTGTAGTACACTTGTTGCAGTGAGGCTTGTGCATGGCAGGCAAGGCCAAGCTGGCTCAAAGAGCAACCAGCCACCTCTGCAAGAATGTGCCAGGAGCAGATGGACCAGATGCCAACCTCACTCACTGTCAGGAGTGGTACATCAGTTCTTCTACCCTAAAGGTGGGGCCGAGAGGCAGACCACAGGCCGTCTTGAGGAGGACTTTATGTTCAAGTGCAGAAAGTAGGCAGGATTACCACCCAGGGGACTCAGCCTTCTGTGGCCCACAGTGCCATATGAACCCCGAGGCATGGACCGGTGCCATCTGCTTTATACAAAAATTAACTTAAGATAGATTAAAGAGTTAAACATGCCACCTGCTTTTCCTCAGGCCTCTGCTCCATCAGCCATCAGGAGGCAGCCACTCAGGCTGTGGAAACCTGGCCATCCTGGCTTCCTTCAGTGGGTGAGGTTGGTGGCTTGTCCACCTGATCCAGGCACACCCTTGCAGAGGTGGCTGATTCCTCTTTAAGCCAGCTTGGCCTTGCCTCTCATGCACAGGCCCCACCTACTGACACACTGCTCTGAGTGAGCTTGTCCTGCCTTGGGCCAAATTCTCTCAGGCCAGGGCCACAGAAGGCCGAGTCCCCTGGGTGCTAATCCTGGCTGCTTTCTGCACTTGAACATAAAGTCTTCCTCAAGACGGCCTGTGGTCTGCCTCTTGGCAACCAAGAAGCCTGCAGTGCCATAGGAGCCCTGAGGCATGGACTGGAACCCCAAAGGCAGTGCACACCCTGCTCCTGACCCTCCTGCTCCTTTCCTATATATGGCTCCATTTGTAGAACGGTTGTTTCACCGAGGCTTGTGCATTCCAGGCAAGGCCAAGCTGGCTCAAAGAGCAACCAGCCACCCCTGCAGGGGTGTGCCAGGAGCAGGTGGGCCAGTCACCAACCTCACATGCTGCCAGTCAGGGTACATCAGTTCTTCTGCCCTAGAGTTAGGGCCACAGTGCCATCTGCTTTTCCTCAGGACTCTGCTCCATCAGTCATAAGGTGGCAGCCACTCATGCTGTTGGAACCTGGCCATCTGGGCTTCCTTGAGTGGGTGAGGTTGGTGGCTCCTCCACCTTCTCCAGGCACACCCTTGCAGAGGTGGCTGGTTGCTCTTTGAGCCAGCTTGGCCTTGACTGGCATGCACAGGCCCCAGGTACTGACACGTTGCTCTGAGTGAGCTTGTCCTGCCTTGGACCAAACTCTGTCAGGCCAGGGTCACAAAAGGCCGAGTCCCACGGGTGGTAATCCTGGCTGCTTTCTGCACATAAAGACCTCCTGAAGATGGCCTGTGGTCTGCCTCTTTGCAACCAAGAAGCCCGCAGTGCCATATGAGCCCTGAGGTATGGACTGGAGCCCCCAAGGCAGCGCACACCCTGCTCCTGAGCCTGCTGCTCATTTTCTCTGTGTGGCTCCATTTGTGTCACAGTTGTTGCACTGACTTGTGCATGCCGGGCAAAGCCAAGCTGGCTCAAAAAGCAACCAGCTGCGTTTGCAAGGGAGTGCCTGGAGTGACTGGACTAGCCATCAACTTCGCCCACTCAAGGAAGCAGGGAATGCGTGTTTGTACCATGCATTTCACTACAGGTGCATTTCCCCTGAGGTTGGTGGCCTAGGTTTCTTCTAGATTTTTTTATGGTTTTAGGTCTTACGTTTAACTCTTTCATCCATGTTACTTAATTTTTGTTTAAGGTGTATGGGTGTGGCCCAGTTTCAGTTTTCTGCATAAGGCTAGCCAGTTTTCCCAAGATCATTTATTAAATAGGGTATCCTTTACCCATTGTTTGTTTTTGTCAGGTTTGTCAAAGATCAGATGGTTTTAGATGTGTGGTGTCATTTCTGAGGCCTCTGTTCTGTTCCACTGGTCTATAGATCTGATTTAGTACCAGCCCCGTGCTGTTTTGATTACTGTAGCCTTGTAGAATAATTTGAAGTCAGGTACTGTGATGCCTCTAGCTTTGTTGTTTTTGCTTAGGATTGTCTTGGCTATGTGGGCTCTTTTTTGGTTCCATATGAAATTTAAAGTAGTTTTTCTAATTCTATGAAGAAAGTCAATGGTAGCTTGATGAGGATAGCAATGAATCTGTAAATTACTTTGGGTGGTATAGCACTCAGGCACAGGAATCTCCTTGTGTTAGGCAATATCATTCAGGACAGAGCCATGGGCAGAGACTTCATCACTAGAACACAAAAAGCAATGGCAACAAAAGCCAAAATTGACAAATGGGATCTAACTAAACTAAACAGTATCTGCAGTGCAAAAGAAACTATTATCAGAGTGAACAGGCAACCCACAGAATGGGAGAAAATTGTTGCAATCTATCCATCTGACAAAGGGCTAATATGCAGAATCTACAAAGAACAAATTTACAAGAAAAAAAACAACCCCATCAAAAAGTGGACAAAGGATATGAATAGACACTTACCAAAGAAGACATTTATACAGCCAATGAACATGTGAAGCAAAGCACATCATCACTGGTCATTAGAGAAATGGAAATCAAAACCACAGTGAGATACAATCTCACACCACTTAGAAAGGCCATTGTTAAAAAATCAGGAAACAACAGATGCTGGACAGGGTGTGGAGAAATAGGAACACTTTTACACAGTTTGTGGGAATATAAATTAGTTCAACCATTGTGGAAGACAGTGTGACAATTCGTCAAGGATCTACAGCTAGAAATATCATTTGACCCAGCAATCCCATTACTGGGTATATACACCCAAAATTATAAATCATTCTAATATAAAGACACATGCACCTGTCTGTTTATGGCGGCACTGTTCACAACACCAAAGACTTGGAACCAACCAAAATGCCCACCAATGATAGACTGAATAAAGAAAATGTGGCATATATACACCATGGAATACTATGCAGCCATAAACAAGGATGAATTCACGTCCTTTGCTGGGACATGAATGAAGCTGGAAAGCATCATTCTCAGCAAACTAACACAAGAACAGAAAACCAAACACCACATGTTCTCATTCATAACTGGGAGTAGAACAATGGGAACACATGGACTCAGGAAGGGGAACACCACACACCAGGGCCTGTCAGGGTGGGGGGCTAGGAGAGGGACGGCATTAGGAGAAATAACTAATGTAGATCATGGGTTGATGGATGCAGCAAGCCACCATGGCATGTGTATACCTATGTAACAAACCTGCATGTCTGCACATGTACCCCAGAACTTAAAGTATAATTAAAAAAAAAGAAATTTGCTTTTAATTAAGCTTTTAATCATAGAACTTGTAAAGAAAATCCTTTCGAATCTTTTACTACCACATCATAGCTGGGACAAACTGCTGACGTTCTAAAAGTAACACAAATATCAAACAGAAAGAACTAGACTTAGGAATCAAACTCAGGTTACTGTAGTGAACAGGGCAGAATCTTCACATTAGGTCACCACCAGTACTCCTTCACTTTGGCCTTGGCTAGCAAAAGAATGGCCTTTTTATGTAGATGAGACCACTTACGTAAAAAAAAAGTTTTAAAAAATAATTTCTGCTAACTGGAATGTTTTTTGTTGTTGTTTATTTGTTTGTTTTTTTGCAGCCATAGGAGTTTTAGCCAATTCAGAGGCCTTGCTCCCCACAATTTGGAACATTCCTTTGAATTTGACCAAGTCAGGAAGAGATGGGAGAAAAGTGAAACAACAATAATAAAACCCCAAGCATAAACAAACAAAAAGAGTTAAGCAAAACAACAAATGCACAATTCATATGATTACTGAGTGTTCTAATGGTAAGGAGAAATTAAAAGCAGAAATTAAAAGCAGCTGGTGAGTAATCTTAAATTTTAGTCATTAAGGAAAAATTTTAAGACAAAACTCTAATTCAGCTACTTACCTGGAAATAAGGCTCAGGCTGGTGATCGTTCTCTGCCATATTAGAAGCTGGAAAAAACTTACACTCACCTTCCCTGTCAGAAGCAAGCTGAAACTCAGGAAAGGAGGTGCCTGCTCTCCATCATCGTGGAAGCAGGAAAACTTGCCTTCCTTGTTGGAAATGAGTAAAACTTCAGAAAAGGAGTTGTACAGCAAAATCAAACTTAGATCTCAACTAGATTTTGGGAGATCAGGGACCCTCTGCAGGGGAGAAACTCCACAACCTCAGCAAATTATCCTGTTGATTTGGGCAATAAAGATAGCCCAGGTTGGTATCAAGCAATAATGAGATTTATCAAAGGTCAGGGACATCTTTGTAATGTCCTTCTCTGTCTTTTTTAATCTTTATTGGTATATACGTTTTGTCAAAACTAGGAGGGCAACACCTGCTTTTTTCTGTTTTCCATTTGCTTGAAAGATTTTTCTCCATTCCTTTATTTTGAGCCTATGTATGGCACTGCATGTGAGATGGGTTTCTTGGAGATGGCATACTCAAATTGGTCTTGGTTCTTTATCCAGCTTGCCCCCCTGTGTCTTTCAATCGGAGCATTTAGCCCATTTCCATTTAAGGTTAGTAATGGTATGTGTGGATTGGATCTTGTCGTCATGCTGTCAGCTGGTTATTTTGCAGACTTGTGTATGTGGTTGGTTTTTAGCATCACTGTTCTGTGTACTTCGGTGCATTTTTGTAGTGGCTGGTGATGGTCTTTTCTTTCCATATTTAGTGCTTCATTCAGGAGCTCTTGTAAGGTAGATCTGGTGATAATGAATTCTCTCAGCATTTGCTTGTCTGGAAAGGATCTTGTTTCTCCTTCACTTATGATGCTTAATTTTGCTGGACATGAAGTTCTGGGTTGAAATTTCTTGTCTTTTTTTTTTAACCATTTAACTCTCTAGCTCTCATTTTAACCATTTTAACTCTCTAGCTGCCTTTAACATTGTTTCTCTCATTTTGACCTTGGAGAATCTGATGATTATATGTTTTGGGGATGATCTTTTCATGGCATATCTTACTGCGGTCCTCTGGATTTCCTAAATTTGAATGTTGGCCTGTCTGGCTAGGTTGGGGACATTCTCATGAAAGATATTCTGAAGTACGTTTTCCAAGCTGGTTCCATTCTCCTCATCTCTTTCAGATACATTAATCAGTCATAGGTTTGGTCGTTTATATAATCCCATATTTCTTGGATGCTTTGTTCATTCCTTTTCCTTCTTTTTTCCCCCATTCTTGTCTGCCTGTTTTATTTCAGAAAGCCAGTTTTCAAGCTCTGGGATTCTTTCCTCTGTTTGGTCTATTCTGCTGGGTGGTCTTGCACATGAGATGGAGCTGGTCTGACCTCAGCCCTCCTTAGTCTGCTTGCCTCTCCCAGGACCCCAGCCTGGCCACACCTGCTTACAGGGCAATCTCGGGTGCCCACACACACTACAATAATTTTCATAATGCAATCACACATAATCACCATGTGACTCCATTATGAAAATTCTTATAGTGTGCTTTTCAGCTCTATTAGGTCGGTTACGTCTTCTTTATACTTGCTATTTTGTCTGTTAGCTCCTGCAATGTTTTAAAATGATTTTTAGCTCGCTTGTATTGCATGACAACATACTTCTTTCACTCAGTGAACTTTGTTCCTACGCATATCCTGAACACTGCTTGTATCATTCCAGACATCTCAGCCTCAGCCCAGTTCAGAACACTTGCTGGAGAGTTGATGCAGTCATTTGGAGGAAGGAAGGCATGCTACTTTTTGAGTTTTCAGTGTTCTCACACAGATTCTTTCTCATCTTTATGGGCTTATCCACCTTCCATCTTTGAGGTTGCTGACCTTTGGACAGGGTATTTTTCTTTTATTGTATTTGATGATCTTGAGGGTTTCATTGCGGTATAAGGTGGATTCAACCAACTGGCTTTGTTTTTGGAGGATTTTGGGGGGGCCAATGTGCAGCTCCCAATTCCTGGACTGTTTGCTTTAACTCTGGGGAACTTGTCTTGGGCCCCAACTTTGTTCTCTGGCTCCTCGAGGTTTGGAGTCCACTGCTCTGTGGGGACCGAAGTGTAGCAACTGTGACGGAATGCTAGTGGATGCAAAATTCCCTGCCTCCCTGCGGGTGTTCACCCAGTGGTGGAGACAAGACAGCTGGGGTGTGGGCCAGGGCTCCCCTGCTGTGTGTGTGTTGTACTGGAGGTAATGTTCGTTCAGAGTGAGCTGCTGGCCAGTGCAGACCATGGTGCCTTCTCTGTGCCCCTCAAAGCAACAGTGGTCGCTCAGGGTATAAGAAGGTCCCTTTTTCTCTGCACAGCATTAGCTCAACGGTGAGGTGCTGGCAGGGGTGGGGTTCTTGGTTCTGTGCCCACCAAGGCTCTGTCTTCAATGGCAGTTGGTGTGGGTTGGTGTGTGTGCTGCACTCCCATGTGCTCTCAGGGCAAGTACAGCAAAACCCACCTGTGTAAACACACACAGCAAAGTGATGTAGGAAGTTTCCATATAAAGGGCTGCAGTATGGAGAGGTAATCTGCAGACTGGTGTGTGGCTGTTGGGGCCACCTTGCTGCAGCTCTCCACTGATCAGGTATGGTCCACTAGCACGGAAGCTATGCTGTGGGCATCCGAAAGTGCCCTGTAAGCAGGTGTGGCCAGGCTGGGGTCCTGGGAGAGGCAAGCAGACTAAGGAGTGCTGAGATCAGACCAGCCCCATCTCATGGGCAAGACTGCCCAGCAGAGATCAGGTCTCAGAGGAGAACTCTCTCAAAAGTGAACCCCCAGCACAGCATAGCTGCTTTACACAAACATGGGCAGGCTTCTTTTTTAAGCAAGTCCCCTTTTTTAAGAGAGGAACTCTGGGACCTGATCTCTGCTGGGCAATCTTGAACATGAGATGGGGCTGATCTGAGCTTAGCATTCCTAAAGTGCTGGGATGAAGTGTCTCACAAGGGCAAGTGGAACCTAGAGAGATAGCTGTCCCTGTCCTCTGGGCTCCACATCACCTGACTTGCTGCTCCACCACTCTGCTTTTCTCCTGGGTGCTCCATCCCAGAGAGATGTGAGTTAGCGTAATCAGCCCAGGATGGAGGGTCTGTGTTGTGAGCCCAAGCCAGGGTTCCCTCTCTGGTGATGAGCAGTGTGGGGTGTGTGGTACCCGTGGGAGATGGACTGGCTTGTTCGTTGGGTCAACTGCAGCTTATTGGAGGTGTCGATATGGCACTTAGGGTCTTTGCTCCCTTGATATTCTGAGGGTAGCAAGGGCAGTTCCACTGCAGAGACAGTGGCAGAGAGAATTTCATTTGCTCCTGGAAGCTCTGTCCAGGGAATTGCTGAGTTGCTACTGGCTTGATAGCTCCAATGGTGGACTGGCTGGAGACCCAGGCCAGGAGGACCTGCTCATCAAGTAGACTGTCTGGCCACTTTTCTGTCAGGCTGCTGGTATGCTGGGTATCCCCTCCAGTCCCTATTTGCCTTGTATTTTCCAGGGAAGATGATAGCCTGCCCCTTCCTCTGGGAGCTCTGGGCCACTGAGGTACGAACTTGTTGCCGATATGAACACACCTATAAGATGTGACTGGAGACAAGTTGAGAAGTCTTATCTAGTCAGGAGGAACAAGAACAGGGACTTGCTTAAAAAAAAAGTCTGGCCACGTTTTTCTAGAGCAGCTGTGCTATGCTGGGGGTTCACTTCCACTCCTGGTCGCCTCAGACACTCTGAAGCCCTAAGGCTGAAATGGCTGAGTTGCCCCAACAGCAAAGATGACAGTCTGGTCCTCCCCCTGGGAGCTCTGACTCAGGGAGGCCTGAAACCTCTGTCAGCCAGAGAACAGCAGTGAATGTAGCTGGAGACCTTGGTTGAAAGGCTTCACCCACTGATTAGAAATGTGGTCGGGGACTGACTTAAACAAGAGTCTGGCCACGTTTTTGTAGTGTGGCTGTGCTGTGCTGTGCTGAGTTTCCTCTTCCACCCCTTTTCACCTTGGGCTTTCCAAAGCCCGCAGGCCAGAACGGCTAGTCACCCAAACAGCAAAGGTGGTGGCCTGCCCCTCTCTCTGGGAGCTCTGTCCCAGGAACACTTCAAATTTCCATTGGCCAAGGAATGCTGGTGGCGGTAGCTGGAGGCCCCAGTTGGGAGGTCCTGTCCTGTGACGTGGAACAGGGTCAGGGGCCTGCTTACAGAAGCAGTCTGGCCATGATTTGGTAAAGCAGCTATGCTGTGCTGTGGGATCTCTTCTGCCACTGGTCGGTTTGTCCTCTCCAAAGCCCTCAGGCTGGAATGACTAAGTTGCCTGAACAGGAAAGATGGAGGCCTGCCCCATCTATTCTCTCAGAGTTCATCTTGTTTGATGGAGCTTAATTTTTAGCCTGTTAATTTTACTGTCTACATTAGACTTGTTCGGAAAGAATCTGTTATATTTTAGGTTAGATATATGAGAATTCATTGTTTTCTGTAAATAAACCTGTTCATGTCTTGTTCTCTGGAAAGAAATCTCTTTCAACTATCTGACTTTGGTCACAATCATGTAGAGCAGTAGCCAGTCTACAGTGACATAATTGAATTTCCATTTCCAGTGTTTCGTTTTTGTGTCTTACATTTTACAGTTCAGAATTGCGCATTTTATTCCCAATTGTCAAAATGCTAAGCTGTCCACTGTACTGAAATAGTTTTTGTTAATTCTTCGTCATTCAATTTTTTTTAAGATGTGCACTTTTATCCAACTTTTCTCAAGTCAGAGTACAGATAAGCCCTGGCTGCCTCCAGCCGCTCTCAGGGAGACCAAAACCCTTCATACACTCCAAGTTGGGGTACAAAAAAGGGGGGCCATGAAGGCTAATCATTAAAAATAAAACAAAAGTTAAAAGTATTAATGCAAAGATTTAAAAATTTTTGCATTATGTAATTTACACAAAAGCAATGCTATCACCTCCCCTGTGTGAACTCGGGAGAGGACTGGGCCATTCTCCTTAGAGAGAAGTAGGGTGGCTTTTAGGAGGGCAAGGGGCTTCCTGAAACAATACATCTCACAATATTTGGAATGACTATTGAAAAGAAGAACAATGTACAATCAAAGTCCTTGGCGACATTGTAGAACCAGCGGGCGCTGACCCCTGAACCACAACCACAGTTCTGGGTTTGGGATTTGGTAAAACCACCCCAGGGACAGAGTTCTGGGGCCGGGTTTTGGAGGAAGCAAGGCGCCTCCCAGGGATGATGTGTCACTCCTGCTTGCCATGAAATGTGCACACAGGCTGTCCCCCTGCCCATCCCATCCTGCTGGACAGGATGGAGGAAGTGAGAGAACAGGCAGGGTGGACAGCTGGGGTGCAGGGAGAGGCAGGTGCATTCTGGGAGGTCAGGATCTGTGAGGGCTGTGGGCTCATCAGGTGGAGTAGGCTCCAGGTGCACCATCAGTGCACTGGGCAGGTCTCAGGCCAGGCTTCCTGGACCCCGGCTGGGTGATGTGGTCACTCCCTGGGGGACTGCTGTCAGACCTTGGCCACGCCCCCTTGGCAGCACCGTCCCATCCTAGGACTGGACTTTCTGAGTCCTGAGACAGGACAGTGCTTCCCAGACCTGACAGACTGGGAGGACCTGTTAAGTCCTCCATCCCTAGACCAGCCTCCCAAAAGCAGGGACAGTCTCCTACCTTTACCTTCAGGGCACTGACTGATCCATCTCATTCTAAGGCAACCAAGGCAGAGCTGAGGACCTGTGCCAGGCTGGGAGCCAGTCTTCTCCCTAAATGGGCCTTAGGGAAGCCTCATCCCTGTCCCAGTGCACTGCAAGTTTCAGCTCAGGAGACACATAGGGAAGGGAGGATGGGTCCTCCCCACTGGCTGACCCTGGAAAAGCAGGACCTGGGAGAAGAGAGAGTGCAGGGCTGGCAGGTGATGCTCCAGGCCCATGGAGAGCTCAGGCTCCACCAAGGGGCTGCCTATCCTGGGCTGGAGGCTGTGCCCTCTGCAGGATCTGAGGAAGTCCAGTCGTGAGGTGGGACAGTGCTACCCAGGGTGGGTGGCCAGCGCCTGACAACAGTCCCCCAGTAAGTGACCACATCACCCAGCCGGGGTCCAGAGAGCCTGGGCCAAGACCTGCCCAGTGCACTGAGCGTGCACCTGGAGCCCACCCCACCTGATGCCCCCACAGCCCTCACAGGGTCTGACCTCCCAGCATGCACCTGCCTCTCCCTGAAACCCAGCTGCCCACCCTGCCTGTTCCCTGGCCTCCTCCATCCTGTGCAGACCATAGACTGTGACCCTCTCTCTGACCACTCTGGCCCTTCCTTTACCTTTGTCCCATCAGAATCTCTGAGCAAGATCTCCCAGGTCCATCCAGACACCTGCTTTGTCCACTTTTGACTGGGCCATTGAACACCACTGGGCCACCCCAACTGTCCACAGGCTCCTTGATAACATGCATTTCCCCTGACATTTCCCAGTAGTGCTCAGCAGCCCCCACTGACCAGGTCCCTGCTGAGCAGATTCAGCATATCAGATCCTCCCTGACCACACCCTCACTGATTAGACCCCCTTCACCAGGCCTCACTAACTAGATTCCCGCTGCCAGGCCCACAATGACCAGGACTCCACAGACGAGGATCTTACTGACAAGGCCTCACTGGCAAGGCCTCACTGACCAGGTCCTTACTGACAAGGCCTCACTGATCAGGTTCCACCGATCATGACCCCATTGCCTGGTCCCACAGATGAAGCCCTACTGACTAGGCCTGCAGGGAATATGATGCCAGTGACCAGGCCCCTGCTAACCAGGCCTGAGGTGACCAGATGCCCCTGACCAGGACCCTAATGAGTATGCCCCACTGAACAGGTATGCACTGCTCAGATCCCTGCTGACCAGGTCACCCCGTAGACCAGTGCTACAAAAGCCACCACTGATCAAGTCCTCTCTGACCAGGCCCCCACTGATTAGGTTTCCACGGACCAGCCTGCCCTGACCAGGGCCCCACTGACAAGCGCCTCTGCTGACTAGGTCCCATGTGACCAGGCCTCCACTGAATAGCACCCCTTGACCTGGTCACCAGTAACCCAGCCCAATCTGACAAGGCCATCACTAAGCCCCAGCTGACAAGGTCTCCACTGACCAAGTCCCACAGCACAGGTTGGCATTGACCAGACACCAAACATTTGTCTGCCACTAGGAACCCACTCACCAAGACCTGCACTACTAGATCCCTCTAATGAGACCCTCTCTAAGCAGACCCCTGCTGACCACCCCCCACTAAATAGGCCTTACGACCAAGTCCCGATTGACTAGGTCCACTGAGCAGGCCCACACTGATCAGGCCCCTCCTAACCATATCAGAAGGCCAAGCAGCAAAGAGATGTTTCATATGGCAGGAGTAGGAGCAAGACAGAGAAAGGAAAGAGGTGTGACATCCTGTTAGACAACCAAATCACATCAGAACTCACTCCCAGGAGATCAGCATCAAGAAGACTAACCAATGGTGAAGGATTCTCCACCCACACCACCGCCCACTGCTTCCAGGCAGAAGCCTCCTGCAGAGGCAGAACCTCTTAGGAAACTTCCACTATGGCAGTGCAGAAGGAAAATATAGGCTTTGAGCCCCCACACAGGAGGCCACCATCCTCCAGACTCCAGATTTGTAAGCCCACCAACAGCTCACACCCTCAGTATGGAAAAGCTACAGGCACTCAACACCAACCCAGCCCATGACAGCAGCCATGGGGGCTACACCCTGCAAAGCCACAGGTGCACTGTCCTAGTAGAGGTTTCCCATGAGCCTCTGCCTCTGCAGCAGGTTACTCCCACCCTCCCACCACCCTACTGACAACCTACTCCTCCCCACACTACCACCCCTTTTCCTTCCACCCCAACCCCCTCTCATCCAAGATTAAAACACCTCCCACCTGGCCCACCTCCAACATTAAGGATGACACGTGAGTTATATAGGGACACACAGCCAACCCATATTATTCTGACCCTGATACCCCAGAACCTCATGTCCTTCTCACAGAGCAAAACAAAATCATGCTTTTTCAAAAGTTTCCAAAAGTCTTAACTCATTCCAAATGTAAAAATTTCCAAGTCTCATCTGAGACAAGGTTACAGTCCCTTCTGCCAATGAGTCCCTGAATTTAAAAGGGATTTCTTTTCCTTCAAGGTACAACAGGCATTGGGTAAGGTTTCTCAATCCAAATGGAAGAAATTCCCCAGAAAAATAACACAAATGCAAGTCCAAAACCCAGCAGGACAGTATTCACTCAATCTCACAGCTCCAAAGTCATCAAAAGAACGCACTGTCATGCGGACAGCATTAAGGAGATAGTGTTTACCCATTTGTGAAGAATCTGCTCCCCCACCCTCATCTTTCACTCCCACCCACAAAATAATCTCTCCCATTCTCCCCACACCCCTACCTCCAACACCCACTCTTCTCCATGATCAAATCACCTCCCACCAGGTCCCACCTTTAACATTCCCCACTACAATTCCACATGAGTATTGGTAGGGACACAGAATCAAATCATATTATTCTGGCTCTTGCTCCCCAAATCTTGTATCCTTGTCACACTGCAAAATACAATGATGACTTCTCTACTTCCCCCCAATGACTTAACTCATTCCAGCATTTACTGAAATGTACAAGGACTTACAGACCCCATGCAAGTCAAAAACCCAGCAGGCCAGTCATTGAATCCTACAGCTCCAAATCATCCTTTCTGAATCTACATCTCACATCTAGAGCACAGGTTTGTGATGCCTGGGTTCCCAAGGCCTTGGGCAGCTCTGTGCCTGTGGCTGTGCAGGGTCTATCCCCCACAGCTGTCCTCATGGGCTGGGCTGGTGTTGAGTGCCTGTAGCTTTTCCACACTAAGGATGCCAGCTGTTGGTGCGTCTATGAATCTGGGGTCTGGATAATGGTGCCTCCATATTTAGGGACTCCAGCCCTATATTCTTCTTCTGTACTGCCCTAGTAAAGGTTTCCCATGAGGCTCTGCCTCTTGGAAAAGATTCTGCCTGAACACCCAGGTTTTTCCTTACATACTCTGGAGTCTAGACAAAGGCTCCCAAGCCTCTAGTTTTGTCCTCTGCGCAGCTGCTGGCTTAACACTGTGTGGAAGCCACCAAGGCTTGAAGCTTGCACCCCTGAAGCAGTGATGCAAGCTGTACCTGTGCATCTTTCAGCCATGGCTGGAACTAGAGCTGCAGGGATGCAGGCAGCAGTGTCCTGAGGCTGCACATAGAGGGGGGTCATGGAACTGGCCCAGGAAACCATTCTTCTCTCCGAGGCCCCAGGGCCTATGATAGCAAGGGCTGCTGCAAAGTTTTCTGAAATGGCTTCAAGGCCTTTTCCCTATTGTCTTGGCTATTAGCACTGGGCTCCTTTTCATGCAAATTTCTGAAGCCTTCCTCAGTTTTATCCTGAAAATCAGCTTTTCTTTTTGACCATTTGGTCAGGCTGCAAATTTTTGAGTTCTGTTTCTCATTTAATATTAGAGTTGGGACTGATTTAATGTAAGACCCATCCAGATGTCATTTCCTCAGTCACACATAAGGGCACAGGCTGTTTGATACAGACAGGACACCCCTTCAGCTTTGCTGCCCAGAAGTTCATTCCATCAGATACTCAGTAAGCCGTCACCCTCAAATTCAAAGTTTCACAGATCTCCAGGGCAGGGTCACTGTGCAGCCACGTTCTTTGCTGCAGCAAAACAAAAGTAACCTTGGCTCCTGTTTGCAGTAAGTCCCTCCTTTTCATCTGAGAGCTTCTTAATCTGATCCTTACTGTCTATTTTCCTATGAGCCTTCTGATCACAAGTATTTAACAATTCTTTACAAAGATCCAAACTTTCCCTCATCTCCCTGTCTTCGAAGTCCTCCAAACTCTCCCAAACTCCATCTGCTACCCCCTTCTGAACCTGCTTCTATATTATCAGCTATCTTTGTCGCAGGCTGGCAATGTGGTAAAGGAAGACAAGCCCATTTTCTGGGGAAAAATTCAAGGAGGCTTCAGATACTTGAGTGAAAAGAAGCTGAGTGCTGATTGCCAAGACATTAGGGAGAAGGCCTTGAAGACACTTAATAGATCCACTTTGCAGTCATAATTTTCTCCATGATCATAAAGAAAACAGGTTTAATTGGTTAATGATTCTGCAGACTGTAAGGAAGCATAGTGGCTTCTGCATCTGACAGGACTCAGGAAGCCTCCCAATCATACCAGAATGTCAAAGGGCAAGGAGATGTCTCATATGGCAAGAGTAGGAGCAAGACAGAGAAAGGAAAAAGTTGTCATACCCATTATACAAGCAGATCTCATGAGAACTCACTATCACAAGGTCAGCATCAAGAAGATGGTGCTTAAACATTGGTGAAGGATCTGACCCACACACCCAACTCCCACTGTTTCCAGGCAGAAGCCTCCTTCAGATGCAGAGCCTCTTGAAAACCTCTATTATGGAAGTGCAGAAAGAAAATATGGGCTTAGAGCCCCCACACAGGTTGTCACCAACCTCCAGATCCCAGATTCATAGGCCCACCAACAACTCACACCCTTGGTGTGGAAAAGCTACAGGCCCTCAATACCAGCCCAGCCCACGAGAACAGCTGTGGGGCTAAAACTTGCAAAGCCACAGGTGCACTTCCCTAGTGGAGGTTTTCCGTGAGGCTTTGCCTCTGCAGCAGTCTACTCCCCCTTCCTACTTCCCCCCACCCTCCCACCACCCTACTGCCAACCCACTCCTCCCCATCCTACCGATCCCTTTTACCTTCCACCACCACCAACCTCCTGTCCATAATTAAGTCACCTGCTTCAACATTAGAGATTACAATTCCACATGAGTTTCATAGGGACACACAGGCAAACCATATAATTCTGACCCTGATATTCCAGAATCTCATGTCCTTATCACAGAGCAAAATACAATCATGACTTTTCAAAAGTTTGAAAAAGTCTTAACTCATTCCAAATTTTAAAAATTCAAAGTCTCATCTGAGATAAGGCCACAGTCCCTTCTGCCTATGAGTCCCTGAATTTAAAATGGAGTTCTTTTCTTTCAAGGTACAATGATGGTAGAGGCATTGGGTAAGATTTCTCAGTCCAAAGGGAAGAAATTTCCCAGAAAAATAACACAAATGGGCCCACAGGCCCAATGCAAGTCCAAAACCCAGCAGGACAGTATTCACTCAATCTCACAGCTCCAAAATCATCAAGAGAACTCACTGTCATGTGAACAGCATTAAGGAGAGTATGCTTAACCATTTGTGAAGGATCTGCCCCCCCACCCTCATCTTTCACTCCCACCCACAAAATAATCTCCCCCATTCTCCCCACTCCCCTACCTCCAACACCCATTCTTCTCCATGATTAAATCACCTCCCACCAGGCCCCAGCTTTAACATTCCCCATTACAATTCCACATGAGTTTGGTAGGGATGCAGAGCCAAATCATATTATTCTGACCCTGGTCCCCATATCTCATGTTGTTCTCACACTGCAAAGTACAATGATGCTTTCTCTACAGTTTCCCAATCTCTTAACTCATTCCAGCATTTACTGAAATGCCCAAAGCCCAAAGTCTCTTCTGAGACAAGGCTGCCATATGTTCTACCCCTGAGCCTCTGAAATACAAAGCAAGTACTTCCAAAGTACAATGATTGTACATGCATTGGGTAAGTATTCCCAGCCAAAAGGAAGAAATTTGTCAGAAAGAAGCACAAAACACAGTTGGGACTTACAGACCCCATACAAGTCAAAAACCCAACAGGCCAGTCATTGAATTCTACAGCTCCAAATCATTTTTTTTGAATCCAGATCCCACATCCAGAGCTCAAGGCTATGAGGCCTGGGCTCCCAAGGCCTTGGGCAGGTCTGCACCTGTGACTTTGCAGGGTCTAACCTCCACAGTTGCCCTCATGGGCTGGGCTGGTGTTGAGTAGCTACAGCTTTTCCACAATCAAGGTGCAAGCTGCTAGTGAGTCTATGAATCTGGCATTGGCAGAATGGTGCCTCCCTGTATGGGGTTCGAACCCTATATGTTCCTTCTGTACTGCCCTAGTAAAGGAGGCTCTGCCTCTTGGAAAAGTTTCGACCTGGACACCCAGGTTTTTCCATACATACTCTGGAGTCCAGACAAAGGATCCCTAGCCTCTAGTTTTGTGCTCTGTGCACCTGCTGGCTTAACACTATGTGGAAGCCACCAAGGCTTGCAGCTTGCACCCTCTGAAGCAGTGACCCAAGCTCTACCTGTGCATCTTTCAGCCATGGCTGGAGCTGGAGCTTCAGAAATGCAGCCAGCAGTGTCCTGAGGATGGACATAGCAGCGGGGACATGGGGCTGGAAAAGGAAACCATTCTTTTCTCTCAGGTCTCAGGGCCTGTGATAGCAAGGGCTGCTGCAAAAGTCTTTGAAATGCCTTCAAGGCCTTTTTAACATTGTATTGGCTATTAGCACTGAACTCCATTTTATGCACATTTCTGAAGACTTTTTGAATTTTCCCACTGATAATCAGCTTTTCTTTTTGACCACTTGGCCAGGCTGCAAATTTTTCAAACTTTTAAGCTCTCCTCATTTAAATATAAGTTTCACCTTGAGGTCATTTCTTTGGTCACATATAGGACCACAGGCTGTTCGACACAGACAGGACACCTCTTAAGCTTTGCTGCCTAAAATTTCATTCCACCAAATACACTCTAAATTATCACCCTGATGTTCAAAATTTCACAGGTCTCCACATTAGGGGCATAGTGCAGCAACGTTCTTTGCTAAGGAAAAAACAAAAGTGACCTTTGTTCCTGTTCCCAGCAAGCTCCTCATTTTCATGTGAGACCTTCTAAGCCTGGTGATCACTGTCCATCCTTCTGTCACCTTTTTAATTATAACTATTTAACAAGTCTCTACACTGAACCAAACTTTTCCTCATCTTCCTGTCTTCTTCCAAGACCTCCAAACTCTCCAACCTCTGGCCATTACACACTTCTCAACCTGCTTCTACATTTTCAGCTATGTTTGTCACAGCCTGGCAATGTGGTAAAAGAAGAAAAGTCCATTTCAGGAGAAAAATTAATGCAGGCTTCACATATTTGCCTGAAAAGAAGCTGAGTGCTGATTGCCAAGACTATAGGGAAAAGGCCTTGAAGGCATTTCATAGCTCCACTTTATAGCATTAATTTGCTGTATAATCAGAAAGAAGAGAGATTAAACTGGCTGATGGTTCTGCAAGCTTTAAATAAATCATAGAGGCTTCTGCTTCTGGAAGGATTCAGGAAGCCTCCCAATCATACCAGAAGACCAAGCAGCAATGGGATGTTTTATATGGGAGACATAGAAACAAAACAGAGAGAGGAAAAAGGTGCCACACATTGTATAACCCTGTTATACAACCAGATTTCCTGAGAACTCACTATCACAAGGTCAGTATCAAGATGTTGCTGAACCATTGGTGAAAGTTCTGCCCCCTACCACCCACACCTCTCACTGTTTCCAGGCAGAAGCCTAAGGCAGAGGCAGAGCCACTAGGAAAACCTCTACTAGGGCAGATCAGAAAAAATAGATGGGCTTGGAGGCCCCATGCAGGAGGTTACCATCCTCAGACCCCAGATTCATAGACCCACCAAAAACTTGCACTCTCAGTATGGAAAAGCTACAGGCACTGAACACCAGCCCAGCCTATGAGGGCAGCCATTGGGGCTACACCCTGCAAAGCCACAGGTGCACTGCCCTGGTAGAGGTTTTCCATGAGGCTCTGACACTGCAGCAGGCTACTCCCCCTTCCTACTGCCCACCACCCTCTCACCACCCTACTGCCAGCCTAATCCTCCCCATCTTACCCATTTGTTTTCCCTTCCACCCCTACCAACCTCCCGTTTGTGATTAAATCACCTCCCACCAGGTCCCACCTACAACAGTCAGGAATGCAATTCCCCATGAGTTTTTGTAGAGAAACACAGCCAAACCTTATTATCCTGACCCTGACACCCCCACATCTCATGTCCTTCTCACACAGAAAAATACAAACACGTCTTTTCAACAGTTTCAAAAAGTCTTAACTCATTCCAGCAGTAACTCAAATGTAGTAAATTCAAGTCTCATCCAAAACAAGACCAATCTTTTCTGCCTATGAGTCCCTGAATGTAAAAGACAATTCTTTTCTTTCAAGTTAAAACGATGGCACAGGCAATGGGTAAGCTTTCTCAAACCAAAGGGAAGATTTTCCCAGAAAAATAACACAAATGGGACACAGGCCCAATCCGACTCCAAAACCCAGCAGGACAGCATTCATTTATCATGAGAACTCACTATCACACAGACTGCATTAAGGAGACAGTATTTAACCATTTGTGAAGGATCTGCCACCCATCCCCATGTTTCACCCTCACTCACACCATGAATGTCCATTCCCCCACATCCCCCTTCCAACCCCCATTCTCTACTATGATTAAATCACCTTCTACCAAGCCCCACATTTAACATTCCCAATTATAATTCCACATGAGTTTTGGTAGGGACACAGAGCCAAATCATATTATTCTCCCTTTGGACCCCCAATCTCACAACCTTCTCATACTGCAAAATACAATGATGCATTCTCTACAGTCCCCCAGTGTCTGAACTCATTCCAGCATTTACTCAAATGTCCATTTGTGAAGGATCCACCCCCCACCCCTGCCTTTCACCCCTAACCCCACCACAATGCCCCCAACCCTCCTCACCCCCTAATCCCCCCCACACTCCCCACCCCACCAACCATCCCACCTCCACTCTCCACCATGATTAAATCACCTTCCACCAGCCCCTACCTTTAACATTTCCCATTAAAATTCCACATGAGTTTTGGTAGAGACACAGAGCCAAAACATATTATTCTGTCCCTGGTCCCCCAAGGTTCATGTCTTTCTCACATTACAAAACGCAATGATGCCTTCCCTAGAGTCCCCCAAATCTTAACTCATCCCAGCATTTACTCAAATGTCCAAAGCCCGAAGTCTCTTCTGGGACAAGGCTGCCATACCTTCTGCCCTGAGCCTCTGAAATACAAAGCAAGTTAACCACTTCCAAGGTACAATGATTGTACAGGCATTGGGTAAGCATTCCAAGCCAAAAAGAAGAAATTTGCCAGAAAGAAGCACAAAACACAGATGAGACTTAAAAACCCCCTGCAAGTCAAAAACCCAGCAGGCCAGTCATTCCATCATACAGCTCCAAGTCATCTTTTTGGAATCTATGTCCACATCCAGAGCACAGGTTGGTGTGATGGCTGGAATCCCAAGGCCTTGGGCAGCTCTGCACATGTGGCATTGCAAAATCTTCCCCCTACAGCTGACCTCATTGGCTAGGCTGGCGTTGAGTGCCTGTAGCTTTTCAACACTAAGGGGGCAAGCAGCTGGTGGGTCTATGAAACTGAGGTCTGGAAAATGGTGCCTCCCTGTATGGGGACTCCAACCCTATACTTTCCTTGTGTACTGCCTGAGTAGAGGTTTACCATGAGGCTCTGACTCTTGGAAAAGCTTCTGGCTAGACACTCAGGCTTTCTGATATATCCTCTGGAGTCCAGACAAAGGCTCTGAAGCTTCTAGTCCTGTGCTTTATGTACCTGCTGGCTTAACACTACGTAGAAGCCACCAAGGCTTGGAGCTTGCATCCTCTGAAGCAGTGATGCAAGCTGTACCTGTACATCTTTCATCCATGGCTGGAGCTGGAAAAGGAGCTGCAGGGATGGAGGCAGCAGTGTCCTGAGGCTGCACACAGCAGTGGAGCCATGAGGCTGGGCCAGGAAAATATTCTTTTCTCCTAAACCCCAGGGCCAGTGACAGCAAGGGCTGCTACAAAGGTCTCTGAAATGCCTTCAAGGCCTTTTTCCCATTGTCTTGAATTATTAGCATTGGGCTCCTTTTTATGCAAATATCCGAAGCCTTCTTGATTTTCCCCCTGAAAATCAGCTTTTCTTTTTGACCACTTGTCCAGATTACAAATTTTCCAAATGTTAAAGCTCTGCTTCTCATTTAAATATAAGTTCCAACTTATGGTCATTTCTTTCATCACACATAGGAGCACAGGCTGTTCGATGTAGGCCAGACAACTCTTGAGCTTTGCTGCTTAGAAGTTCATTCCACCAGATACACCCTAAATCATCACCCTCGAGTTCAGTTTCACAGATCTCCCGGGAAGGGTCACTGTGTAGCCAATTACTTTGCTAAGTCAAAAAAAAAAAAAAACCTTAGCTCCTTTTCCCAGTAAGTTCCTCATTTTCATCTGAGACCTTACAAGGCTATCTTCACTGTCCATCCTTCTGTCAGCCTTTTACTCACAACTATTTAACAAGTCTCTGCAATGGTCCAAACTTTCCCTCATCTTCCTGTCTTCTTCCAAGCTCTCCAAACTCTCTAACCTCTCGCCACTACCCAATTTGGAACCTGCTTCTACACTGTCAGCTATCTTTGTTGCAGCCTGGCAATGTGGTAAAAGAAGAAAAGTCCATTATCAGGGGGAAACATCAAGATGGCCTCCAATATTTGCATTGAAAAAAGCTCAGTGCTAATAGCCAAGAGAATGGGGGAAACTCCTAGAAGTCATTTCATAACTTCACTTCACAGCATTAATTTTCTGTATCTACATAAAGAAAAGAGGTCTAATTGACTCACAGTTCTTCAGGCTGTAAAGAAAGCATAGTGGTTTCTGCTTGTAGGAGGACTCAGGAAGCCTCCCAATTATACCAGAAGGCCAAGCGGCAATGAAATGTTTCATATGGCAGGAGTAGAAGCAAGACAGAGAGAGGAAAGAGGTGTGATATCCTGTTATACAACTAGATCTCATGAGAGCTCACTATCAGGAGATCAGCATTAAGATGGTGCTTAACTGATGGTGAAGGATCCGCCCACCACCCCATATCCACCACCAACTGTTTCCAAGCAAAAGCCTGCGGCAGAGACAGATCCTCTTGGAAAACCTCTACTAGGGCAGTGCAGAAGGAAAATATGGGCTTGGAGCCCCCACGCCACCATCCTCCAGCCCCAAGAGTCATGGACCCACCAACAGCTCACACCCCCAGTATGGAATACCAGCCCAGCCCATGAGTGCAGCTGCAGGTGCTAAACCCTGCAAAGCCACAGGTGCTCTGCCTTAGTAGAGGTTTTCCATGAGCCTCTGCCTCTGTGGCAGGCTACTCCCCTCCTGCTACACACCACCCTACAGCCAGCCTACTCCTCCCCACATTACCCACCTGTTTTTACTTCCAACCCCACCCCTCTCCCATCCATGAATAAGTCACCTCCCACCAGGCCCCACCTGCAACATTCAGGATTACAATTACATGTGAGTTTAGGTAGGGACATGCAGCTAAATCATACTATTCTGACCCCGATCCCCCAAATATCATATCCTTCTCACAGAGTAAAATACAATCATGCCTTTTCAAAAGTTGCCGAAAGTCTTAAGTCATTTCAGCATTAACTCGAATGTAAAAAGTTCCACGTCTCATCTGAGAAAAGGCTACAGTCCCTTTTGCCTATATGTCCCTGAATTTAAAAGGGAGATCTTTTCTTTCAAGGTACAATGATGGTACAGGCATTGGGTAAGTTTTCCCAATCCAAAGGGTAGAGGTTTGCCAGGAAAATAACACAAATGGGATCACAGGGCCAATGCAGGTCCAAAACCCAGGAGGCCAGTATCCATTCAATCTCACGGCTCCAAAACCGTCACGAGAACTCACCATCATGAGGAAAGGATTAAGTAGATGGTGTTTAACTATTTGTGAGGGATCCTCCCCCACCCCCACTTTTCATCCCTCACCCCCACCATAATCCACCCATTCTCCCCAATCTCCACCTTCCAAAACCCAGTGTCCTCCATGATTAAATCACCTTCCACCTGGCCCCACTTTTAACATTTCTGATTACAATTCCACATGAGTTTCCATAGGGACACACAGCCGAATCTTATTCCTCTGTCTCTGCCTCCCCAAATCTCATGTCCTTCTCACTTTGCAAAATACAGTGATGCCTTACTTACCATTCCCTAAGCCACTATGCTTTTTTTTTTACAGCCTACAGAACCTTGAGCCAATTAAACCCCTTTTTGTTATGATCATACAGAAAATTAGTACTGTGAAGTGAAACTATGAAATGCCTTCAATGACTTTTCCCCATCGTCTTGGCTAAAACCCCCAACTTCTTAACTCATTCCAGCATTTACTTAAATGTCTGAAGCCCAAAGTCTCGTCTGAGACAAAGATGCCATCCTTTCTGCTCCTGAGCCTCTGAAATACAAAGCAAGTTAACTACTTCCAAGGTATGATTGTCCAGACATTGAGTAAGAATTCCCACCCTAAAGGAAGATTTTTTGCCAGAGAGAACAACGAAACACAAACGGGACTTACAGATCCCATGAAAATCCAAAACCCAGCAGGCCAGTTATTAAAACGTACAGCTCCAAAGTCATCCTTTTTTAATCCTTGTCCCACATCCAGGGCACAAGGGCATGAGGGCTGGGCTCCCAAGGCCTTGGGCAGGTCTGCACCTGTGGCTTTGCAGTTTTCAGTTCCCGCAGCTGCCCTCATGGGCTGTGCTGGTGTTGAGTGCCTGTAGTTTTCACCCACAGAGGGTACAAAGCTCTTGGTGGGTCTATGAATCTGGGGTCTGCATGATGGTGGCCTCCAGTGTGGGGGCTCCAACCCCATATTTTCCTTCTGCACTGCCCTAGTAGAGGTTTCCCAAGAGGCTCTGGTTTTTGGCAGCCTTCTGTCTGGACACCCAAACATTTTCATACATCTTCCAAAATCTATATGAAGGCTCCGAAGCCTCTGGGCTAGTGATCTATGGACTCGCTGGCTTAACACTATGTGGAAGCCATGAAGCCTTATAGCTTCTACCCTCTGAAGCAGTGATGCAATCTGTACCTGTGCATCTTTCAGCCAAGGTCGGAGCAGGAGATGGGGCTGCTGGGATGCAGGCAGCAGCGTCCTGAGGCTGCACTCAGCAGCAGGGCCATGGGGCTGGCCCCGGAAACCATTCTTCTCTCCTAGGCCCCAGGGACTGTGACAGCAAGGGCTGCTGCAAACATCTCTGAAATGCCTCCAAGGTTTTTTCCCCCATTGTCTTGGCTATTAGCACTGGCCTCCATTTTATGCAAATTTCTGGAGCCTTCATGAATTTTCCCCCTGAAAATCAGCTTTTCTTTTTGAACACTTGGCCAGGCTGCAAATGTTCCAAACTTTTGAGCTCTGCTTGTCATTTTTAAATATAAGTTCCAACTTGAGGTCATTTCCTCGGTCACACATAACCTCGGTCACACAAGAGCACAGGCTGTTTGATGCAGACAGGATCCCCCTTGTGCTATGCTGCCTAGAACTTCATTCCACCAGATATGTACTAAATCGTCACCCTCAAGTTAAAAGTTTCACAGATCTCGAGGGCAAGGTCACCCTGCAGCCATGTTCTTTGCTACAGCAAAACAAAAGTAACCTTGGCTCCTGTTCCCAGTAATTTCCTCATTTTCATCTGAGACCTTGTAAGCCTGGCCTTCACTGTCCATCCTTCTGCCAGCCTTTTAATCACAACTATTTAACAAGTGCCTACGATGGTCCAAAATTTCTTCATCTTCCTGTCTTCTTTCAAGCTCTCCAAACTCTCCAACCTCTGGCTTTTACACACTTCTGAACCTGCTTTACATTTTCAGCTATCTTTGTTGCTGCTTGGTAATGTAGAAGAAAAAGAAGTCCATTTTCAGGGGGAAACTTCAAGAAGGCTTCAGATATTTGCATTAAAAAGAAGTCCAGTGCTAATAGTCAAGACGATGGGGAAATGTCATTGAAGATATTTCATAGCTCCACTTCACAGTACTTTATTTTCTGTATGATCATAATGAAAAGGGGTTTAATTGGCCCATGGTTCTGCAGGCTGTAAAGAAAGCACAGTGGCTTCTGCTTCTGGAAGGACTCAGGAAGCCTCCCAATCATACCAGTAGGAAAACAGCAATGAAATGTTTCATACGGCAGGAGCAGGAGCAAGGCTGAGAGAGGAATGAGGTGCCACATCGTTATATAACCAGATCTCATGAGAACTCACTATCACTAGGTCAGCATCAAGAAGATAGTGCTTAACCATTGGTGAAGGATCCACCCCCCAACACAGTTCCACCTCCTACTGTTCCAAACAGAAGCCTGCTGCAGAGGCAGAGGCTCTTGGGAATCCTGTACTATGGTAGTGCAGAAGGAAAATAAGGGCTTTGAGTGACTATGCAGGAGGCAACCATCCTCTAAACCCCAGATTCATAGACCTACCAACAGTTCACACCCTCAGTATGGAAAAGCTACAGGCACTCAACACTAGTCCAGTCTATGAAAGAAGCCATGGGGGCTCAGACCTGCAAAGCCACAGGTGCACTTCCTTAGTAGGGATTTTCCATGAGGCTCTGCCTCTGCAGCAGGCTACTCCCCCTTCCTACTAACCACCACCCTCCCACCACCCTACAGACAGCCTACTCTTCCCCACCCTACCCACCCCTTTTTTCTTCCACCCCTACCCCTCCCATCCATGATTAAATAATCTCCCACCAGGTCCCGCCTCCAACATTTGGGATTACAATTCCACATGAGTTTTTCCAGGGGCACACAGCCAAATCATATTATGCTGACCTTGACCCCCCAAATCTCATATCCTTCTCACAGAATAAAATACATTCATGTCTTTTCAAAAGTTTCCAAAAGCCTTAACTCATTCCTACATTAACTCACATGTAAAAAGTTCAAAGTCTTATCTGAGACGAGGCTACTATCTCTTCTGCCTATGAGTCCCTGAAGTTAAAAAGGTGTTTGTTTCTTTCAAGGTACAATGATGGTACAGGTATTGGGTAAGCTTTCTCAATCCAAAGGGAAGAAATTTCCAAGAAAAATAACATAAATGGGACCACAGGCCCAATGGACATCCAAAATCCAGCAGGTCAGTGTTCATTCAATCTCACAGCTCCAAAATCATGAAGAGAACTCACTATCAGAAGGACAGCATTAAGGAGATGGTGTTTAACCATTTGTGAAGGATCCACCCCCACCTCTGCCTTTCACCCCCAACCCCACCACAATCCCCTCCAACCCTCCCCACCCCCAATCCCCTCCAACCCTCCTCGCCCCCCAATCCTCCCCAACCCTCCCCGCTCCCCAACCATCCAAACTCCACTCTTCACCATGATTAAATCACCTTCCACCAGCCCCCACCTTTAACATTTCCTATTAATATTCCGCATGAGCTTTGGTAGAGACAGAGAGCCAAAACATATTATTTTGTCCCTGGTCCCCCAAAGTTCATGTCTTTCTCACATTGCAAAATGCAATGATGGCTTCCCTAGAGTCTCTCAAATCTTAACCCATTCCAGCATCTACTCAAAGGCCCAAAGCCCAGAGTCTTATCTGAGACAAGTGTACAGTCCCTTCTGCCCATGAGTCACTGAATTATAAAGAAACTTTACTACTTCCAAGGTACAAGGATTGTACAGGCAATGGGTAAGCATTCCCAGCCAACAGAAAAAAAAATTGCTAGAAAGAAGCACAAAACACAGATGGGACTCATAGGATACATAAATGTCCAAAACCCAGCAGGCCAGTCACTCAATGCTACAGCTCCAAAATCATCATTTTTGAATCCTTGTCCCATATCCATGGCACAGGGCTGTGAGGGCTGAGCTCCCAGGGCCTTGGGCAGATCTACACCTGTGGCATTGCAGCGTTCAGACTCCGCGGCTGTCTCTCATGGACAGGGCTGTTGTTGAGTGGCCGTAGCTTTTCCCCACTGAGGGTGCAAGCTGTTTGTGGGTCTATGAATCTGGGGTTTAGAGAATGATGCCTCCCTGTGTGGGGGCTTCAACCCTATAGGTCCCTTCTTTGCTCCCCTAGTAGAGGTTCCCCATGAGGCTCTGTCTCTTAGAAAAGCTTCTTCCTGAACATCCAGGATTTTCTATACATCTTCTGGAGTCTAGACGGGAGCTCCCAAGCCTCTAATCTCTTTCTCTGTGCACCTACTGGCTTAACACTATATGGAAACCATCAAGACTTTGAGCCACCTCTGAAGCAATGACCCAAGCTGTACCTGTACATCTTTCAGCCATGGCTGGTGCTGGAGCTGCACGGATGCAGGCAGCAGTGTCCTGAGGTTGAGTACAGAAGCAGGGCCATGAGACTGGCTTAGGAAACCATTCTTCTCTCCTAGGCCCCAGGGCCTGTGACAACAAGGGCTGCTGCAGACATCTCTAAAATACCTTCAAGTCCGGTTTCCCATTGTCTTGGCTATTTGCAGTGGGTTCCTTTTTATGCAAATACCCTAAGCCTTCTTGAATTTTCCCCCTCAAAATTGGCTTTTCTTTTTGACCACTTGGCCAGGCTCCAAATTTTCCAAACTTTAGATCTCCACTTGAAGTTCCAACTTGAAGTCATTTCTTAGGTCACCCATAAGAACACAGGCTGTTCAATGCAGACAGGACACCTGTTGTGCTATGCTGCCTAGATGTTTATTTCACCAGATACATCCTAAATCATCACCCCCAAGTTCATAGTTTCACAGACCTCCAGGGCAGGGTCCCCGTGCAGCCAGCTTCTTTGCTAAGGCCAATCAAATGTAATCTTGGCTCCTGTTCCTAGGAAATTCCTCATTTTCATCTGAGACCTTTTAAGTCTGGACTTCAGTGTTTACCCTTTTGTCAGCCTTCTGATCACAAGTATTTAACAATTCTCTATAGTGGTCCAATATTTTCCTCATCTTGCTGTCTTCCAAGCTTTCCCAACTCTTCTGACCTCTGTCTTTTACACACTTCTGAACCTGGTTCTACATTGTCAGCTATCTTTATCACAGCCTGGCAATGTGGTAAAACAGAAAAGTCCATTTTCAGGGGGAAAATTCACGAAGGATTCAGATATTTGAATGAAAAGAAGCTGAGTGCTGGTTGCCAAGACAAAGGGGAAAGGGCCTTGAAGGCATTTAATGGCTCCACTTCATAGCACTAATTTTCTGTATGATCATAAAAAAAAGAGGCTTAATTGGCTCACGATTCAGCAGGCTGTAAAGGAAGCATAGTGGCTTCTGCTTCTGGGAGGATCAGATCAGGAAGCCTCCCAATCATATCAGAAGGCCAAGGGGCAATGAGATATTTCAAATATCTCATTGCAGGAGTAGAAGCAAGACTGAGAGAGGAAAGAGGTGCCACCCCCTGTTATATAACCAGATCTCATGAGAACACACTGTCATGAGGACAACATCAAGAAGACGTTGCCTAACCATTGGTGAAGGATCTGACTCCCACCCCCACCTCCCACTGTTTCCAGGCAGAAGCCTGCTGCAGATGAAGAGTTCTTGGGAAACCTCTACTAGGGCAGTGCAGAAAGAAAATATGGACTTGGAGCCCCCACGCAGGGGGCAACCACCCTCCAGATCCCAGATTCATAAACCCACCAACAGCTTGCACCCTCCGTGTGGAAAAGCTACAGGCACTCAACACTAGTCCAGTCTATGAAAGAAGCCATGGGGGCTCAGACCTGCAAAGCCACAGGTGCACTTCCTTAGTAGGGATTTTCCATGAGGCTCTGCCTCTGCAGCAGGCTACTCCCCCTTCCTACTACCCACCACCCTCCCACCACCGTACAGCCAGTCTAATCCCTCCCACCCTACCCACCCCTTTTTCCCTTCCACATCCACCCGTACCCATCCATGATTAAATCACTCCCTCCCACTCCCTCTCATACTCTAATCCCTCCAAGCCCTTCCAATCTTTGTTTGCTACCCACTATTGAGCCTGCTTCTACTTTTTCAGATATCTGTATAGCAGGTTGGCTATGTAGCAATAACAAAAATCCCATTTAAGGGGAAACATTCAAGAAGATTTCAGAAATTTGCATATAAAGAAGCCCTGTGCTAATAGCCAAGACAAAGGGAAAAAGGCCTTGAAGACATTTCACAGCTCCTCTCTGCAGTTCTAATTTTCTGTATTATTGTAAATAAAAGAGGTGTAATTGACTCATGATTCTGCAAGCTGTGAAAGAAGCATTGTGTCTTCTGTTTCTGGGAGGAATCAGGAAGACTCCTCATTATATCAGAAAACCAAGGGACAATGAGATGTCTCCTAAAGCAGGAGTAGGAGGAAGACAGAGTGAGGGAAGAGGTTCCACAGCCTGTTAAACAACCAGATCTCATGAGAACTCACTCACTATCAGGAGGATAGCATCAAGGTGATGGTCCTTTATCATTCGTGAAGTATCTACATGCACCATTTTATGACTAAATCTTTTTCCACCTAGGCCCCGCCTCTAACATTACAAAATATAATTCCACATGAGTTTTGGTAGGGACATAGAGAAAAACCATATTATTCTGCCCCTGACCCCATGAATCTCATGTCCTTCTCACATTGCAAAATACAATCATGCCTTGGCAGCAGTCTCCCAAAGTCTTAACACATTTCAGGATTAACTCAAAGTTACAAAGTCCAAAGTCTCATCTGGGTCAAGGCTGCAGTCTATTTTGCCTATAAGTCTCTGACATAAAAAGCAAGTTCACTGCTTCTAGGGTACAATGATGGTACAGGCATTGTGTAAGCTTTCCATATCCAAAAGAAAGACATTTTCCAGAAAGCTTCTTATTTCTCTCTGAGACCTCCTCAGTCTGGCCTTCACTGTCCATGTTTCTGTCAGGATTTTTGTCACAGCCATTGAGCCAGACTCTAAGATGGTCCAAAAGTTTTCTCATCTATCTGTCTTCTTTTGAGCCTTCCAAACTCTTCCAATCTCCTTCCATTACCTGGTTCCAAAGTTGCTTCCACATTTCCAGGTATCTTTATAGCAATATTCTAAGTCCCCATTTGCCATTTTCTGTATGATTTACTTTGAAAAAGAGGTTTAATTGGCTCATGGTTCTAAGCACAGTGCTTCTGCTTCTAGGAGGCCTCAGAAATCTTTCAATAATCATGGAAGGCAAAGAAAGAATCAGTTGTCTCACATGGCAAGGGGAAAACAAGGAGAGTAGGGAGGGGACATAGAGTTTTCAGTGACCAGATCTCATGAGAAGTCACTCATTATTGTGAGAATGCTACAAGGGGATGGTGCTGAACCACTCATGGGAAATTTGCCTTCATAATTCAATCATCTTATACCAGGATCCACCTTCCACATTAGGAAATATAATTCAACATGAGATTCGGTAGAGACACATATTCAAATTGCATCATCAATATTTGAATATAAAGACATCCACAGCAGGCTTTATCCAGCCAACTTCTTTGAGACTCTTTATAGGGTTTGAGGTCTAGAGCATATACACTAAAATATTCATACTTCAAAAAGCAATAAAGTGGTATTATCATTTTTCCAAAAGTTACAGCAGTAGTTTAGGCATTCATAGCATGATTTAATTCACATTTGCTACTGTTTCTATTCTATCACCATATTAACTGTTTCCTATACAATTTTGTATTCAGCTGGATTTCAGTTGAGCACAAAACCATCCTTGTACTAGCTCTTTGCTAGTGTTATTATTCTGCTGTAGAAAGTATCCTTGAACTGGAAACAGTCCACGATTGAGTATCGAGTCATTCAACACTATCAATTCCTGGGTAGCTTTTTGAAAAAGTAGTATCTCTTGTTGCAAGAAATGCTGCATCTGTGAGTCCATGTCTCTCACTGGAATTGGATGGAAGTGGTGAATTTCAGCCAAAGCGGCCAAAGAAATCCTGTTCCTGTGATTCTGACATCATCAGCCTCTGCATCTCTGTCTTCCCTTCTGCCACATGTTGCCTGCTCTCTGTGACTTTGGTAAGAGCTTCCTTGTGTATGTGGATGATGTCCAAGATGTTGGTCTGATGTCCCTGAGACAGCACTAACAGGTCCATGGCTGGGTCCAGATCCTGCCTGGACTGATTGACAAAGAGCTCACTGACAGTTTGGAAGACGCTCTTTCTTAAAGCCTGTCACCACTCATTGGCTGTGAAGTTGAGCTGAGTGCCCTGTTGTCCATCTTCTTGGTGAAGCACTTGAAGCCATCAATCTTGCTCTCCCACTCCTAAAGGTTGAGTGTCACCCTGAGGGAGGGCTCAGGGCCAGGAAGAATCTGGCACTCACCATCTCATCCTTCTCAGCCTTCCTCTTGCCCTGTCTCCAGGCTGTCTCTTCAGTGCTGGTGGGGCACATCAGGAAGTGACAAAAAATGTGGCACTGTGCCTGCACCCAGAAGCTGGCTGTGTGGTTCATCTACCAGATTGGGCCCTTTCTGCACTGGAACATAGGTCCACTTCACCATAGATTCCTTCCACACTGTCAGTGAGCTCTTTGCCAATCAGCCCAGGCAGAACCTGCACCCAGTCGTGGACCTGTTAGTGCTGTCTCAGGGACACCAGGCCAAAATTCTGGACATCATCCACATATCCAAGGAAGCTCTTACCAGAGTCCTCCTCAAGATGGCCTGTGGTCTGCCTCTTGGCACCTGAGAAGCCCACAGTGCTGTAGAAGCCCCGATGCATGGACTGGAGCCCCAAAGGTGGCACACACTCCGCTCCTGAGCCTTCTGCTTGTTTCCTCTATGTGGCTCCATTTGCAGCACATTTGTTGCACTGAGGCCTATGCATCCCAGGCAAAGCCAAGCTGGCTCAAAGAGCAACGAGCCACCTCTGCAAGGGTGTGCCAGGAGCCAATGGACCAGCCACCAACATCACTCCCTGCCAGTCAGGGTAAATCAGTTATTCTGCCCTGGAGGTAGAGCCCCAGTGCCATCTGCTTTTCCTCAGGTCTCCACTCCATCAGCTGTCTTGTGGTGGTCACTCAGGCTGTGGGAACCTGGCCATCCCTGTTTCCTTGAGTGGGTGAGGTTGGTGACTGCTCCACCTGCTCCTGGCACACCCTTGCAGAGGTGGCTGGTTGCTCTTTGAGCCATCTTGTCCTTGCCTGGCATGCACAGGCCCCAGGTACTGAGAAGTTGCTCCGAGTAAGCTTGTCTTGGCCCAAATTCTAAGTCTGGCCAAGGCCACAGAAGGCCGAGTCCCCTGGGTGGTAATCCTGGCTGCAGCAGGGGGGCACATGGTGCCCCTCCCCTCCCAGGGCTCAGGATGAGGTCCGACTGGGATAGGATGCTTTAGGTATGGGACTTGTGCCCCAGGAGGGGGCCTCTGTCACACAGAGCCTCTATAGGTGCTCCCCAATCTCTGCCCTCCCCACCCATGGTGGTCCTGGGGATGCAGACAGAGGAGGGGCACTGCATATTGCTGAGAGGGCTGGCATCCTCTCTAGGTGGAACATAGGTCATTTGTAAAGTTGTAGGCCTGCCAAGCAATATTGGATTCAACACATTTTCTCACCTTCTCTTACCAGCCACCCTCCAGGGTTCCCTGACTCACCTCCCTGCAGATGGAGGCAAGGAGGCTCCACAGTCAAACCACAGAAGATGTATGGCATGCTGCTGGCTACCAGGGCTGTTGGGATGCACGTTCACCCTTCCCTTCAGGGACCTCAAAGTGACCAGCTTCCCCTTGAAGAATGACTCTCCAAGGCCCAGGAGCCATCTGGGGCTGCAGAGCAGCTGGCCACATGCTGCCCTGGCTTCTTCCATGTTGTGCTGGTCACTACCCACCAAGGGGGGTCAGATGCAGGCACGATGCAGGATGGTTGTCTCTGGACCTGTGTCTTGGTTATCATGGAGCTGGACTAGGCCTGGTGACAGGGCCCTGATGGGGTTGTCCTGGGTGGTCACGGGGGTGATGAGAAAAGATGCAGAATGGAATTGCTGTGAGGATGAATGAGACGACTGTCAGCACAGAACAGGCACCCGGTGAGTGTTCAGGGATTACCCTCAGTAGCTGCCCAGAGGCCAAAACCGCACACCTGATAGTGACTGTCCCCAAGCCAGGAGGAAGAGAGGAGAGCAGGTCCCACTCACCTGAGTCTGATCAGTGAGCTTTGTTGAGATGTGCCTGTCATCTAGAAAATGGTCCTTCACGCAGAGCTACTCACAGACACTGCTGTGTGTCTCTAACTTCTCCACAACACAGAGGCCATGGGGACTCAGGAAGAGTGACACTGTGGGGTGACACAACCCACCACAACGGGAGCCTGCTTGGGTCAACAGGGCCCAGCGTCAGGGTCCTCTGTCCCCTGAACTGACATGTGGGTATGCAATGTGTTTGTGTATGCATGTGTGCCTGTGTGCGTGCGCGTGTGTATGTGTGTGTTTGTCTTGCTTCTCTGGACAGGCCTAGCTTCTCCACTCATGGGTGCCCCCAGGTCCTCATCACTGTCACCTTAGAGCATTAGAGCCTCTATAGGTGCTCCCCAATCTCTGCCCTCCCCACCCATGGTGGTCCTGGGGATGCAGACAGAGGAGGGGCACTGCATATTGCTGAGAGGGCTGGCATCCTCTCTAGGTGGAACACAGGTCATTTGTAAAGTTGTAGGCCTGCCAAGCAATATTGGATTCAACACATTTTCTCACCTTCTCTTACCAGCCACCCTCCAGGGTTCCCTGACTCACCTCCCTGCAGATGGAGGCAAGGAGGCTCCACAGTCAAACCCCCTGCCTGAGGTCACATAGTGGCTAGCAGGCCACGTACTGACTAACCGCCCCTGACCAGGTTCCCAGTAATGAGTGATGAGGCCCCTAATGACCACTCCTCCATTGACCAGGTCCCACTGATCAAGTCCCCACTGACCATGTCTTCCTAACCAGGCCCGCACTTAATAGGCCTCATGGGCCAGACCCCACTGACCAATTTTCCACTGAGCTGGTCCCCACTGACAAAACCGGGTTCCCACTGACAAGACCACAATTTACCAGGTTGCTGCTCACCCGACCCCTCACTGAACAATTCTCCATGGATGAGTCCCCAGCTGACTGAGCCCCCTCTGACCAGGCCCTCACTGACCAGGATCCAAGCCACTAAGGCCCCACATCGACCAGGACCCTGGTATACTGTATATGCCCCACCAACCAGTTTTTCATTGTTTATGTTCCAACTGATCAGGCCCCACTAATAAGGCCACCACTGACTAGGTCCCCCCACTGACCAGGCTTCCAATGACTAGGTCACCAGGTCCCCACTGATGAGGCCTTTACTGAGGAGACCACCACTAACCAGGCCCCTGCTGATCAGGTCCCAAATGACTAGGTCCTGGTGACCAAGTCATCTCTGACCATGGTCCATTGACCAGGCCTATGAGCAACGGGACTCAAAGTCTCATTACAATGTCCCCCTCAGCTCATAGACCCTCCCTCCCTGCGTGTGTGGCCAGAGGTTAGGCCCTGGGGGTTTTTTTGAGACATGGTCTTTCCTCCAAGACACAGGGAAAGACAGTTGGCCTCAGGCTCCAGGTTCCCAGCTCCACACTCACCCCAAAGGCCCTCTGGCCCCATCTCAAAGGAGACAGTGAGGTGGCCTGACACTGCCTGGACACGCCATCTACCCTATTCCTGAGTGTCAGAGTGTGAGGAAGGGAGGGACATTTGGCAAATGAGACACCCTGTGCTGTTGGGTCTCCCAGGGCCCTTCCCATACAGCCCCGATCTAAAGACACAACACAAAGGCTACAGGAAGACTAATCCAGAACCTCTGAGTCTCAGACAGGGACCACCTGAGGACTCTCCCCAGACAGCCAGAAGGCCCTTTGCTAGTTTCTTGGTACCTCAGTGGATGTGGCAGCAGTTCTTCTGTTGGGGACCAGTGAGTACACGCTGGGGAGGGCTCACCTGTGCTTCCTCATTGGCTCCACTTCTGCTTCTAAAAAAAATTACTCATTCCAGAGCTGGGGCAGAGAAAATACAAGATGAGCTTAGAAAATCTTCTGCCAGAAAGTAAAAAAGTGCTGACAGAGTAATGGAGACAAATCAAAGAGACATAAAGTCAGGTTGGAATGTCTACTACTGGCCTAATCTTGGGGAATTGGAGCATCAGAATCATGAGCTTTCCTTCTCCCTTATTTATTGGTTTTATTTCTCCATGTAGAACAAAGAAGAGAATAAGAAAATAATCATCTGGCAACCATCAAAGTAATAATTGTTCAAACACAAGTCATCCATGAAATGCTAAATCTAGTGGGTTCTGAGGAGTTACCAGATATTTACAGAGCCTCAAAGTATCTCCATACAAAATACGGTTGAACTACAAAAAGAAAATCATAACATTAGTATGGACAAACCTGGCAGGTACTCCTTAAGTCTCCTAAGTAATAAAAACTGTAAAATGCAAATAAGCCTTTGATGACCTTTACTAACCTTTACTAAAGTATCGATGACGTGGTTGTTTAAACAGCTGACATTTGGGCAATTTGAGTATGTCAAACTCAATAATACTGGTTTTCATTTGCAAGATCCACTTAAAACTTAAGGAGGTTAAAAAACATCATTTAAAATACCCTATAAATTATCTTCATACATATGATACAAAAATATCCTACTTCAGTAAATGTTGTAATGTTATATATTTTGTGAGAAACAATTAAAACGTGTAAATAGCCTGGTAATAAAGTTTTATAATCCTTTAAATCATACAATTTTTCCTTAAGACTTTATGGTTAAATATTCTCTTTGTTAGATATGGCTTACCAGTGGATTCTAGAGAAGAAAGTAGATGGGAGCAAGTGTCCAACACAGCAACAGCTGGAAAGAAAAATAAAGAATTATGTTCTTTACCTAAAACACTTCAGTTAACTAAGTGTGCGTTTAAAAACTAAAGAGTTGAGAACTTTATCAGATTTAATAAGAATGAGAAATATGTATGTACATTTACAATACAAAATTACTATTTAATAAATTACACATGGCATTAATTCTAATTGTGTTTAAATACCAGAGCTTTTTCATTCTTCATTCATGTAATCAACAGCCACATGCTAAGGTACTAGAACCAGCACTGGAATTGCAAGATGAAGATGGCATGGTCCACCTCTCAACAATCATATGCTATAAACTAAAAAAACAGACAGGAAGGCAATGTCCATATAGAGTCATAGATACTATGATAGGTATAGAGCAGAGCACTACTGGAACACACAGAAGTGACATCTACCCACTTTTATGTCAATATCATGGGCTTTCTGGTGGAGGAGATAACATAGATTGATACCTGAAGGACAAGGAAAAGTTTCCCAGATAGAGGGAAGAGGCGAAGGCAAAGAGCCTGAGGTGAGGAAGAGCCCTGCAGAGTTCCACTCCATCCAGTTTGGTGCTAAAGCAAAGGGCAGAGTGCAGTAACTGGTGAGAGACAAGGCTGAGTAACTTGATGAGAATTACTTTGACATGGGAGTTTTTATTTCATGGTGAAAAATATGGAACTTTTCCTGAGAACAAGTGTAAGCCACTGACACAGTAAATGACAGGAGATTTAAAAGGCCACCTGTCAAGTGACTGCTTATGAAGGGTTATTGCTCAGCTAAGTATTTCTGAATGAGTCTTAGGTCTGTTGGCCTTCAATCTCTACCAAAACCTTTGTTTTTTGATGATGCCTTTGTTTTCTGAGAATCGTTTCAGTGTGCTGGCTGACAGTTCCATGAAGATGGCGAAACTTAAGAAAGTGTAGAGCCAGTGAAAAAGAGATGCCCAGACTTCTTAGGAATTGTTTAAGCTATGGAACATGATGAATTTATGGTGCATAAGTACAGTCTTCTCTGTGAAAGTTTTTGTTTTCACATCTTTCATTTGAAGTGTGTAAGAAAAAAATGCTTGATGTAGTATCTACTAACCCAAGAATGAAAAGGAATGTCATTTGCTATTTACACTTTATTTCTAAAATAAACCTGAATTTAATTAATAAATTTTGGCAATGTACTTCTCTTTGTTTCTCTAATTATTTGTTCTACACAGTCTGCCTCCATCTACAATAAGTAAAAATAATATTAATGTTTAAGTTAAACAAAAACATTATCATGAAAATAAGGTATCTCTTATAAAATGTGGCCTTTAGTATTTTTAGTGACTAGACATAACTTGAAATTTGCTTAAATAGAAAAATAATCACATTAATAAAGTAAAATTTCTACTTATTTTAAGTTTAGATAACAGAGGATGTATATGTGTAATGCTGTTTAGAGTAATCTGACAAAAATGCAGTTAATATTAATCTATTGCATATACATGGTTTTAGAAAGGAAGTGTTTTATTAGAACAAAGGTTAAACAATGGCCAGGCATGGTGGCTCATACCTGTAATCCCAGCACTTGGGGAGGCCAAAGCAGGCAGATCACAAGGTCAGGAGATTGTGACCATCCTGGCCAACATGGGGAAACCCCATCTCTACTAAAAATACAAAAATTAGCTGGGCGTGGTGATGCTCACCTGTAGTCCCAGCTACTTGGGATACTAAGGCAGGAGAATTGCTTGAAGCCAGGAGGTGGAGGTTGCAGTGAGCCAAGACTGCACCACTGCACTTCAGCCTGGTGACAGAGTGAGACCTTGTCTCAATATACGAAAATCAATAAATGTAATCCAGCATATAAACAGAGCCAAAGACCAAAACCACATGATTATCTCAATAGATGCAGAAAAAGCCATTGACAAAATTCAACAACGCTTCATGCTAAAAACTCTCAATAAATTAGGTATTGATGGGACATATTTCAAAATAATAAGAGCTATCTATGACAAACCCACAGCCAATATCATACTGAATGGGCAAAAACTGGAAGCATTCCCTTTGAAAACTGGCACAAGACAGGGATGCCCTCTCTCACCACTCCTATTCAACATGGTGTTGGAAGTTCTGGCCAGGGCAATTAGGCAGGAGAAGGAAATAAAGGGTATGCAATTAGGAAAAGAGGAAGTCAAATTGTCCCTGTTTGCAGATGACACAATTGTATATCTAGAAAACCCCATTGTCTCAGCCCAAAATCTCCTTAAGCTGATAAGCAACTTCAGCAAAGTGTCAGGATACAAAATCAATGTACAAAAATCACAAGCATTCTTATACACCAACAACAGACAAACAGAGAGCCAAATCATGAGTGAACTGCCATTCACAATTTCTTCAAAGAGAATAAAATACCTAGGAATCCAACTTACAAGGGATGTGAAGGACCTCTTCAAGGATAACTACAAACCACTGCTCAAGGAAATAAAAGAGGATACAAACAAATGGAAGAACATTCCATGCTCATGGGTAGGAAGAATCAATATCGTGAAAATGGCCATACTGCCCAAGGTAATTTACAGATTCAATGCCATCCCCATCAAGCTACCAATGCCTTTCTTCACAGAATTGGAAAAAACGACTTTAAAGTTCATATGGAACCAAAAAAGAGCCCATATCGCCAAGTCAATCCTAAGCCAAAAGAACAAAGCTGGAGGCATCACACTACCTGACTTCAAACTATACTACAAGTCTACAGTAACCAAAACAGCATGGTACTGGTACCAAAACAGAGATATAGATCAATGGAACAGAACTGAGCCCTCAGAAATAAAGCCGCATATCTACAACTATCTGATCTTTGACAAACCTGCGAAAAACAAGCAATGGGGAAATGATTCCCTATTTAATAAATGGTGCTGGGAAAACTGGCTAGCCATATGTAGAAAGCTGAAACTGGATCCCTTCCTTACACCTTATACAAAAATCAATTCAAGATGGATTAAAGACTTAAACGTTAGACCTAAAACCATAAAAACCCTAGAAGCAACCCTAGGCATTACCATTCAGGACATAGGCATGGGCAAGGACTTCATGTCATGTCGAAAACACCAAAAGCAATGGCAACAAAAGCCAAAATTGACAAATGGGATCTAATTAAACTAAAGAGCTTCTGCACAGCAAAAGAAACTACCATCAGAGTGAATAGGCAACCTACAAAATGGGAGAAAATTTTCACAACCTACTCATCTGACAAAGGGCTAATATCCAGAATCTACAATGAACTCAAACAAATTTACAAGAAAAAAACAAACAACCCCATCAAAAAGTGGGCAAAGGACATGAACAGACACTTCTCAAAAGAAGACATTTATGCAGCCAAAAAACACATGAAAAAATGCTCATCATCACTGGCCATCAGAGAAATGCAAATCAAAACCACAATGAGATACCATCTCACACTAGTTAGAATGGCTATCATTAAAAAGTCAGGAAACAACAGGTGCTGGAGAGGATGTGGAGAAATAGGAACACTTTTACACTGTTGATGGGACTGTAAACTAGTTCAACCATTGTGGAAGTCAGTGTGGCGATTCCTCAGGGATCTAGAACTGGAAATACCATTTGACCCAGCCATCCCATTACTGGGTATATACCCGAAGGACTATAAATCATGCTGCTATAAAGACACATGCACACGTATGTTTATTGTGGCATTATTCACAATAGCAAAGACTTGGAACCAACCCAAATGTCCAACAATGATAGACTGGATTAAGAAAATGTGGCACATATACACCATGGAATACTATGCAGCCATAAAAAATGATGAGTTCATGTCCTTTGTAGGGACATGGATGAAATTGGAAATCACCATTCTCAGTAAACTATCACAAGAACAAAAAACCAAACACCGCATATTCTCACTCATAGGTGGCAATTGAACAATGAGAACTCATGGACAAAGGAAGGGGAACATCACACTCTGGGGACTGTTGTGGGGTGGGGGGAGGGGGGAGGGATGGCATTGGGAGATATACCTAATGCTAGATGACGAGTTAGTGGGTGCAGTGCACCATCAAGTCACATATATACATATGTAACTAACCTGCACATTGTGCACATGTACCCTAAAACTTAAAGTATAATAATAAAAAAAAGATTAAGTAATTAAAACCATCTTTTGCAGTGAATGGATTGCTTTGAAATTCTTAGAAAACTCTGCCCTTTATAAAAGTTTAATCCATTTTTTACTTCAATAAATTTTATCTTAAAAAGAAATTTCTATTCTCTACTTATAGTAAACCTTTCTTTTTTTTCTAGTTTGTATTCTGAATTAAGGTGGTACCTCTGTAGGTTTCTTTCAAAGGCATATTTACGGATGCCGAGGTTTTCAGTACAATTGAACTCATCACACAGGTAGTGAGCATAGGACCCAATAAGTAGTTTTTCAACCCTGGCCCACTCTGTTCCTCCCCATTCTTATTTCCCAGTGTCTATTATTCCCATGTTTATGACAATGCGCACCCAATGTGTAGCTCCCACATGAGTGAAAAGATGAGATATTTGGTTTCTGTTTCTGCGTTGGTTTGCTTAGAAGAGTGGATTCCAGCTGTATCCATGTTGCTGCAAATGACGTGATTTTGTTCTTTTTATGGCTGCATAGTATTCTATGGTATATATGGAATTTTCCAATCTACCTTGGATTTTCAATCTACCGTGGATGCACCTGGATTGACTCCACGTCTTTGCTATTGTGAATAGTGCTGCAATGAACATACATGTGTATGCATCTTTTTATTACAATGATTTATTGTCCTTTTGGTATACCCCTAGTATAGTAATGGGGTTGCTGCATCCAACAGTCATTCTTAGTTCTTAATTTCCAAGCTGCTCTCCATAGTAGCTGAATTAATTTGCATTGCCACAAACAGCGTGTGTTCCCTTTTCTCCACAGCCTCCCCAAAATCTTTTTTAATTTATTTATTATTTTTTTTAACAAAAGTCATTCGGACTGGTGTGAAATGGTATCTCACTGATGTTTTGTTTGGCATTTTTCTGATGATTAGCAATGGTAGGCATTTGTTAATGTTTGTTGGCCACTACATGTGTTATTTCAAGAAGTGTCTGTTCATGTCCTTTGCCCATTTTTAATGGTGTTATTTATTTTTTGCTTGTTGATTTGTTTAGGTCTCTTATGGATTCTGGATAATAGGATAATAGGCGTTTGCTATATCCATAGTTTGTGAATATTTTCTTCCATTCTTTAGGCTGTCCGTTTAATCCCGTGATAATTTCTCATGCTGTGCAGAAGCTATTTAGCTAAATTAGATCACACTTGTCAATTTTTGTTATTCTTGCAATTGCTTTTGAGGACTTAGCCATAAATTAATTGACAAATATGATGTCCAGAAGAGTACTTCCTAGGTTTTCTTCCAGGATTTTTATAGTCAGAAGATGTACTCTTATGTAAGAAAAGCACAAATATTTTTATTTTTTTATTTTTATTTTTTTGAGATGGAGTCTCCATCACCCAGGCTATAGTGCAGTGGTATGTTCTTGGCTTACTGCAACCTCTGTCTCCTGGGTTCAAGTGATTCTCCTGCCTCAGCCTCCTGAGTATCTGAGATTACACATGCCTGCCAACACGCCTTGCTAATTTTTGTATTTTAACTAGAGACAGGTTTCATCATGTTGGCCAGGCTGGTCTCAAACTCCTGACCTCAGGTGATTCATCTGCCTCGGCCTCCCCAAATTTTGGGATTACAAGTGTGAGCCACCGTGCCTGGGCAAGCACAAAGCTTTTAAAATAAAAATGGAAATGAACATTTTAGTGTTTTGTTTAATTCATAAAATGCAATTATTTTGGATTCTACTAAATAATAAACATCCATATGTGGCAAAGTGTTTTGATGCCAATCATTCAGTTGTGATTATGGGTGGGAAGAGTTGAGATGGTGCAAATAAACTTTTTTTAAAATTTTTTATTTTCAAGATGGAGTCTTGCCCTGTCACCCAGGCTGGAGTGCAGTGGTGCAATCTTAGCTCCTGCAACCTCCGTCTCCCAGGTTCAAGCAATTCTCTGCCTCAGCCTTCCTAGTAGCTGGGATTACAGGTGCCCACCATCACACCAGACTAATTTTTTTTTTTTTGTACTTTTAGTAGAGATGGAGTTTCACCATCTTGGCCAGGCTGGTCTTGAACTCCTGATCTCGTGATACACCTGCCTCAGCCTCCCAAAGTGCTGGGATTACAGGCATGAGTCACAGCACCTGGCCGGTGCAAATAAACTTTAAAAGTGACATGGGCCGGGTGCGGTGGCTCATGCCTGTAATACCAACACTTTGAGAGGCTGAGGCAGGCAGATCACAAGGTTAGGAGTTCAAGAAGAGCCTGGCCAATATGGAGAAACCCTGTCTCTACTAAAAATACAAACATTAGCTGGGTGTAATGGTGGGTGCTTGTAGTCTCAGCTACTCAGGTGGCTGAGGCAGGAGAATCACTTGAACCCGTGAGGTGGAGGTTGCAGTGAGTGGAGATGGCACCAAGACACTCCAGCCTGGGTGACAGAGTGAGACACTGCATCAAAAAAAAGAAAAAAAAATGTGGTATGAACCACAGCTAAACTACAATCAATTAGAGAGTAAGCCAAAGCATCTCAAAGTATATCATCAGTTATCAGGCAATAACATGCAATTTCTAAATCCTAACCTATATGCAGCTTTTAAAGACATTTTAAACGTGTCAGTTTAGTCACATTTATTGAATAAAGTTAGCAAATGGATATCTCTTGAAAATGAGAGCTCCAGAGAATTAAAAAATGTAAAGTTCCCATTTCCTTTCTGTGTTAACACAGCTAATTATGATCTTTACTTAACATGCAAAAGTCAACAGAACAACTCAGTATCTCACCAAATTAAAAACAAGAATTACACTAGAGAAATGAAACCCTAAAGAAAAACGGTCATATAACTAACCTCAGTCAAGTAGTTCTGGCAGTTATTTGAAGTCTGAGGGTTTGAAGTAGGAATTCTTACTGGCATTTGGGGAATATATTTTCTGTTGAGTCCTATACTAGTAAGATTTTCAACACAAGGTGACTCTCAGCCTCACCTTGTAGGAAGAGAGCTGAGAAAATATTTCACCTGCTCTTTCTCCATAAGGAGCTTGGTGCTGATCATTGTTATTTTCTTATTCGATCCGTAAAGATAACAAAGACAAATGCTTAGTATTTCATTTTTCCTTAAATGATTCTTAATGACTTGCAGTTTTTAAAAACTTGCTCTGAGAGTAAACCAAATTACCCACTAAACAGTGTTTTCACACCGAAGATGTGTAAGAGCATACCTGTTGTAAGGAATTATAATTTTAAAATCGTTCTAAAGAAGCACCTTGGTTTCTAAGGTGATTTATACTGAACAAGCAGTTCAAACAAAGTAGACAGTGAAGAGAAATGGCTATCAGTCATGTATGGCTCAACAGGCAAAACTTGCTGCCTTCTAAAATGGCTCTACTTGTAAGATTCTGAAGATTCCATTAGAAATACTTGTATTTAAAGGGTAATAATGTGGGAAAATGAATATGTTGATTTGCTTGATTATAGGAACCACTTCAATAGAAATAATTATATCAAAACATCATGTTGTACTCCTTAATGTAGGTTAAGAAAACTAAAATGAACAAAAAAAAATCTAGGAATACTTGTGTTTAGTAAACCAGTTTTAGATTTCACCCTTGTACATTTCACCCATTATCTAGGACCAATTAAACATTTGGCACTGAGGAATAATTCAGAGCAACAACTCCTAGGGGAGAACTAGATTGTCTGGTTGGTGATCAAAAAGAACTAAAGCATCTCTGAAGGCAATTAGCTCTCAACACTGTGACCAAGGCCCTGGAGGTGGGGCATGTTCTTTCTGCCTTCCACACACCCCTTCAGGCTGAACAAGGTGTTATTTTTTAACTGCTTTGTGAATTACACTTCTTTAAATTCCTGTGATAATTATTCCCTATTTCACAAGGATGCCTTTCTGTAACATCTTGAATATGTTACACAAATAGTCTTTCTTGAGGCACCCTCTGATGATAATACTAAAGATCACAATCAAAAATGATTGTGCCCAGAGTAGCAGTACCACTTTGCATTTAGGTTGTGATCTACTGAAAAATAAATTAAACACATTAATATTTCTATTTAGGGAAATTCTGACAAGTAATTTTATAACAGGATCACTTCATTAATTATAAAGCTTCAAAATACTTAATAAAAAACTAACAGATCAGGTTAATTACATGAGACTTTTCAGGGGAAAAAGCCATACAAAAACAAACAAAAAAAAAATGAGAGGAGAGACAAAAACTATCTTTGACTAACATTTTAAAGGTAAGATTATTTACTAACATTATTTTTCAAAATTACATTGTCAAATTAGCATTCACTTCCTAGTAATATCCTGAAGCCATCTCACTAAAAATTATGCTTTTGAAACAAATTAACGAGCTTAATTCATTTTCTATGAGTGTATGTTTGGACTTGCTTCGTTAATTTTTTTGACATGGAATTGTTAGCTTTCAATGCTGCTGCAAAGGCTTCCTTATATTCTTCTAACTCAGTTGTAACCTCTTCATAAGCAGTTTACATTTTGTAGAATTTACATTCCACATCTTTAAGTGTGAGTTCCTTCTTATTTAGTGAAGCCATATTATCCTTGTTTAACTGCTCTAATTGTTTTTTATATTGTGCTTGTAACTAAAACAAAGGAAAAGAATACACTTTTAAAACAATTATAACCTAATTATTGTATGTTTGTTGCCTTTCATTTTGAGTCAGTGATTCAAAGAGCAATTTTGAATATGTTAAAAAAGAGGCTGAAGCTTAAAATATTTCAGCAATATCAAAACTAATAACTGAATTCACAATTAAGTCTGATTTATAAAAATTTGAAATCATAATTATGTTAGTATTCATGTAATCTGGTCATATAAAAAGTAATAGAATCCTTTCATAATTTTAAAAAGTGATTAATGAACAATGTAGCTTAAGACCAATTCAAAAGTGTCACATAATTTCTAAATCACAATTTTTTCCTATGCCAACTGGCCTTAATCATCAAATGACTCCATAATGAGAATCATTACTCTGAAAGATTGATTTTCTTATAATAATAATGGAAATTTAAATATTTAAAAGAAAAAACAGATGCCATTTTTTTTCTAGAACTCTACAAAGCAGATTGCTACAAGAGAGGCAGAGGAAACACTATATATATATATACATATATATATGTATATATATATACATATATATACATATATATATGTATATATATATATGTGTGTGTGTGTATATATATATATATATATATATATCTCCAAAATATAATTTACAGTGAAATAAATGAAAGTACATTACAGGTAAACTTACCTGATTTAAACAACTAACCTGTAAATGGATTTCTTCTAATTTTTCTACTGCCTGTATTGCCCTTTCATCTGGCTCTGATTTATATTCTTGTAGTTTACTAAGTTCTACCATATTGTTTTCCATATGTGTCTTAAGATTTAATATTTCTTCTTCCAACATCTTTTTATCCTCCTCAAGTTTTTCACATTCTTGTTGTACTTTTTTCATAGATAATAACTCCTGTTGAATAACTTGATTGTCTTTAGCCAAATTGACGCATTTTGAAGATACAGCTTCCTCCTCTGGCGTAAGATCATCAAACTGCATGAATAAAATAGTATAGCTTGATAATGAAGTAGGCTGAGAATAATCTAATACAAAACCAATAGCAAATTTTAAAATGCATTCACTTGTAATAAAATGTTATCAGTAATGCATCAGATTCTTCAAATGTGAACCCTTAAATTACTCAGAATTTTAAGAACAAAGTTAAAGCTACCATGAGTCACAAAAATATATTCTTTAGTATCATCATCTTTGCCACAGAACTTTTGTACTTCATCTTACTTTTATTTTTCTGATAATTTATTTTTGTTCCTCCTTAAATGGCACAAAGTTATCTCCTAGTAAAAAGTGTCTAACCCCCTTCCTTCATTATCATTCCCCACAATATTTCAAAAAAAGTTTCAGAGATATCATATTGAGTTATTTAGGCCAAAGTCAATAAATGGCTCTAGGAATAAGACTTTGAAAATAATATTACACTCTATACTAGGCATGGTGGCTCATGCCTGTAATCCTAGCACTTTAAAAAGCTGTGGCAGAAAGATCACTTGAGGCCAGGAATTTGAGATCAGCCAGAGCAACATAGTGAGACCCCCATCTCTACAAAATTTTTTTTTTAATTAGCCGGGTATGGTGGCTCATGCCTGTAGACCCAGCTAGTTGGGATACTGAGGCAAAAGGATGGTTTGTACCCAGAGTTCAGGGCTGCAGTGAATTATTATCACTGCACTTCTGCCTGGATGACAGAGAAAGACCCTATCTAAAAAAAACACAAAATAACAATTCTATAATTAAGGATTCTGATGCCATAAGCCTTTCCTTAAACTGCAAATGTTTCATGCTAATTTGAATTGCATTTTAAGAAGTAATGATTCTTGGGGTAAAGGCCATAGGATACAGCACTCAGAAATAAATCCACATATTTCCAGCCAACTGATTTTGGATGAACATGCCAAGAACATATGCTGGAGAAAGGACAGCCTCTTCAAATGAATGGCACTGGGAAAACTAAATATCCATATGGAGAAGAATGATACTAGCTTCCTATGCAACACCATATAACAACATAAACTCAGAATTGATTGAAGATTGAACTGTAAGGTCCAAAATTATCAAACTACTATAAGTAAATATAGGGAAAATGCTTGAGGACATTAGTCTGCACAAAGATTTTTATGGGTAAGACATCAGAAGCATAGGCAAACAACAAATGATAGACAAATGGTACTACATTAAGCTAAAGAGCTTCTGTCAGGCAAACAACTGAGTGAAGAGAAAACCTGTAGAATGGGAGAAAATATTGTCAAGCTATTCCTCTAATAAGACACTAATATACAAAATATACAAAAAACTCAAACAACTTCACAGTAAAAAAAAAAAATCTGAGTTTAAAATTGGGCAACATATCTAACCATACTTTTTTAGAAAAAGAAATACAAATAGCCAATAAATAATTTTTAAAATGCTCAGTATCACTAATCCTCAGGGAAATATAAATCAAATCTACAATGTGATATAATCTTGCTTCAATTTGAATAAATTGCTATCATTGAAAAGACAAAAAAAAAAATAACAAATGCTGGTGAGGCTCCAGAGAACAGTAAACTCTTACATGCTGTTGGTGGGAAGGTAAATTAGTGCAGCCACTATAGAAAACAACATGAGGTTTTCTCAAAAAACTAATAATGGGACTGCTGAGGGATCCAGCAACCCCACTACTGGGTATTCAGGAAATAGAAAAGAAAACAATAGATCAAAAGGATACCTGTCCTCATATGTTTACTGTAGCACTATTCACAACAGCTTATGTATGGAATCAACTTACATGTCCATCACCAAATGAATGGATGAAAAACTGTGGCACACAAACACAATGGAATACTATTCACTATATAAAGGAATTAAATCCTGTTATTCGTGGCCACGTGGATCAGTCTGAGGGATGTTTTGTTAAGTTCAGACACAGAAAGATAAATACTGCACATTCTTACTCATGTGTGGGAGCTAAAGGAAAATTGAGGGATGGGCAATATGGCTGATGCCTGTAATTTCCTAGCACTTTGTAAGACCAAGGCAGGAGAATCATTTGAGGCCAAAAGTTCCAGAGCACCCTGGGCAACATAGGGAAATATCTCTACAAAGTAAAAAATCAGACAGGTGCAATGGGGCATGTCCATAATCCCAGCTGCTCAGGAGGCTGAGGTGTGAGGATCACGTGAGCCCAAGAGTTTGAGGCTGCAGTGAACTATGATAAAACCACTGTCTCCAGTCTGGGTGACTACAGTTGCCCAGAGCCCAGACTACACTAGCAAGACCCTGTCTCTTAACAACAAAAAAAAACTCATAGAACTAGGGGAGGGGAGGCTGGTTAATGGATACAGAATTACAGTTAGATAAGAGGAATGAGTTCTGGTGTTCTGTGTCATTGTAGGGTGAATATGGTTAACTATGACTTATTGTATATTTTTAAAAATGCCAAAAGATTTTGAATGTTCACAATTGAAAGAAATGAAAAATGGTTGAAGTAGTAAATGTGCTAGTTAGCTTGATCATTACACACTATATACATGTATAAAAATATCACCCTATAGCCCATATTTATGTATATATGTGTCAATTAAAACAAAAGAGAAGCTACATTCATCCCATTTAAAACAAAGAATATGGGCCAGCCTTACTGACTTCCTTCTAATGAGTAGAATGTAGAGAAAGGGATACCATGTGGCTTCCCTATATCAGACTGTTTTCCCTTGGAACCCAGCCCCAATTGTGAGAGCCATTAGGCCACAAAGAGAGCCTGAAAGTGCCTGTGTCAGTGTTCATGCTGCCTGTCCCAACCAAGTTTACAGCCGATGGCCAGCATCAACCATCAAACACGTGGGAGAGCAAAGCTTCAGAGGATTCCATTTCCCCAACTGATCAGCTGTTCCTAGGGAAGCTGAAGGGAGCAGAGACAAGCTGTCCTGGCCAAGTTTTTCCCAAACCACAGGTTCATGAACAAAATAAATGTTTTTCTTTCAAGCCACAAAACTCTGGGTAATTGTTAGGAAAATAAGTTTTAAAAAGAGACAACAGGAAACATAACTTATGCAGCAGAAAAGAGTCTCCTTTAAAGCAGGATCTAATAAATGTTGATATGTATTTATTGATGTCAAACATTATTGAGAAGCAGCAGATAACCAGGAGAGAGACATAAGCTGCTGAGGAGGAATTTTCCTAAAACTCCTTCAATTATGAGCTCTGATAACAAGGCAAGGGTGTCTCTTTACAATTTCCCCTCAAGTTAGGAAATAAGACTGGGAAGCAAGAAGATGTATGATTTGAAAAACAATTAGAAATACTTGGTGACATAGCCAAAATCAGACATTTACCTGATTTCAATTAACTAAAATTCTAAAAGAAGAAGATTTGAGTGTTTATTAATCAACCTAGTATTCAATTTTCATTTTCTTTTCTAAATGAGGAAATAAGGAGAATATTATGGAATGATTTTTAGTCTTCACAGAAGTAAAATAAGCATAGTGTGTTTTGAGTGTTAAGACATCAAATGCAATTTCTCCTTTACCTTACTCCAAGCTTGTTTGTATGGAGAAGTAAAGACCATCCCATCTCTATGCTATGCCACAATGCTTCTCTATAGCACACAACTTGGCTCTGAAATTTTGAAAGTCAAAATACTAATCTACTATGTGTCTCTGATAAATTGCCTGAACATTACCTGATTTTGAAGTGCTGCACTCCTAAGACCTTTTCTTGGAATGAGTTAAACTTTTTATTCCAAGAATCCTCTACTGAGCTAGAAAGCAGAGCTGTGCATCTCTGTTTCAGTAAAAGGAGGTCAATACAGGGAACTGTGGTTTCTGAGAATGCAAGATCTGCACTAAGAAAAGGATTAGCCACAGTGTTACCCAAGAGAACCAGCTACCAGGAGGAAAGAGGGTCTGTAAACTGCAAGATGATTACTTCACTTGATTTCCACTGAGGAAAGCTGGTGGTTCAGACTTAAACTTCTCCTTCCTAGATGGTAAACATCTATGGAAGGTTCTATGAATTATAATGAGTTAGTAAAACATAATGCACTAATATTAGACTATGTCAGCAGATCCTGTGACCAAAACTTACTGAAAATATAACTATAGTGGGAGGCAATGGAAAAGAGACTAAAGGTTTAAATGGAGAAAAAAGAAATTAAGTGTGCCTTGTAAGCCTGGCTTCTGATCATGTCTTAGAAGAAGTAAGGTATAAGCTGGCCAGAGACTCCTTTGTGACACAAAAGGTGAAGTTAAAGATATTCCACTAAATTTAATTTTTATTATGACATAAGACAACTGGTAATATGCAACATGATTGAAAAAAACTTCTCATTCAATTCGATTGGGCCTTGACATAAGAATAGACATAAACAAGCTAAGAACTGATAATCTAAAAATAAACCTGCACATTTACAGTCAATTGCTTTTATACAAGCTTAACAAAAGAACAAAATGGGAAAAGAATAGTCTTTTCAACAAATGATGCTGGGACAACTGGGTATCCATATGCAAAAAATAAATAAAATTTGACCAAATATCTTATTTAGAAATTAACTCAAAATAAAACAGTTAACTGTAACAGCTAAAACTATAAAACCCTCAGAAGAAAACACTGGCATAAATCTTTGTGACTGCATTTGGCAGTGTTTTCTTAGCTATGACTCCAAAGGAAAAATGCATTCAATGGACTTCAAAATTGAAAACTGCTGTGCCTGAGAAGACAGTATCAAGAAGTGAAAAGGTAAGACGCCAAGTAGAAGAAAGTATTTGAAAAGCGTATATCTGATAAAGGACTTACATATATAGGAAATATAAATAACTCTTGCAATTAATAAACAATAAGATAACCCAATTTTAAAAAATGGGCAAAGATTTTGAATAGATATATCTGCAAAGAAGATATAAAGATGGATAAGCACATTAATAGATGCTTAACGTAATTAGTCATTAGGAAAATGTAAATCAAAACCACATGTGGCATCACTTCACATCACAGGATAAAATCTTTGTTCAAGAAAAAAGAGTAAGTGTTAGGAAAAATGTAAAGAAATTAAAACTCTTATTTAATGCTGCTGGGAATGTAAAATGACACAGCCACTTTGGAAAACAAACTGGCAGCTCCTTAAAAGGTTAAGCATGAAGTTACCATATGACCCAGAAATTCCAGTCATAAGTATATACTCCAGAAAAATAAAAACATACACAAGCACAGAAACTCATACAAAAATGTTTACAGCAGCATTATTCATAGGAGTCAAAAAGTAGAATGAACCGGAACGTCTATCACCTTTGGGTGGGAGAGAACCCAAAGGTCCATCACCTGGCCAATGGATAAATAAAATGTTTGATGTATCCATACAATGGAATATTACTCAGCAATAAGAAGAAATTAAGTACAGATACTGTATTAGGAGGAGACAGCAAAATTCCTAGGCAGATACGGAAGGGTCCCCAGAGAATCTCCCACCAGCCCCACAAGTGTTTACACCAGATGTTATGTGCAGATAAGAGAACCTGGACTTGTCTTGCCTGGACATGCCTGCAGCAGACCGGAGGCCCACATGTACTGGGGGGATGGGGTGGAGTCACCAGGAATTCACGCCTTATGCAGAGGAGGAACCTGGCCGCTTCAGCTCATGTGCTCCTGGTATTCAATTGTGAGGTGGAAACCTGTTTGCAGGACCCCTCTCTTTGCTGAGAGCTTTCCTTTCACATAATAAATTTTGTCCTCCTCAATGTGTCTGCGTGCTTAATTTTTCCTGGTCATGAGAGAAGAACCCAGATGTAGCTGAACCAAGGAGCAAAAGCCCGGCATCAATACCTGCTACAGCACAGATGTAGCATGGAAAATTATGCTCAGTGAAATAAGCCAGTCCCAGCAGACCACTTGCTTTTCATTTCAGAGGCTTATAGGCAAATCTATACAAAGAAGGTGAGTGGTTCCCTAGGGCTGAGGGAGGAAGGGAAAACTAGTGAAGATGGTTAAATGATGTGGGGTTTGTTTTTAGGGTGATGAAAATGTTCAAAATTGATTGTAATGATGACTGCATAACTCTCTGAAAATACTAAAGTTAATGAATTGTATATTTTAAATGAGTGAATTGCACAGTGTGTTCATTATTTCTCAATAAACCTGTTGCCCCCTACCCCAAATTAATTTGGTACTAGTGATTTTGGTACTAGTGATCTGGAGACAGGTACTGCTTGGTTTCAGATCACTGGCCAGGGTTCAAGGCCTAAGAGAATCAACAGCATGTCCTCTATAGAAAAAGAGATTTATATTTTAAAAGCTATCCTTTTCATTAGTATCAAGCCTGTAAAATTAAATGAAAAATCTTTCTTTCACTGCTTAAAGCACTGACAGACTTATATTGAGGAATAAGACCTTGTTCTCTTTGGTCCCAATTTCTATCTAAAGGGTCTCATCAGATGGGTTGTATTAACTCTTATAATGTGGCTTCCTTTCTAACTTGATTCTGGTGCAGCATCACAGAGAGAAGAAGCTGAAAGAAATCAAAGTATTTTACCCCTAAATATATTTTTTGACATATTTTGAAATAGCTGCTGCAGGGCCAAGAGATTGAAATGGCTCTCACTAATGTAGCCCAATCTCTCCCCTTCTAGATCTTCCTAGATCTGGGGAAGATTAACTAAGAGCCTGAGGCATTTAAAGTCTGAAAAAATATATTTACCTTCTATTTTCTCCACATATTTTGGCAGAATTTGGGTTTTTCCATTATCAATATTTTCCAAAATTACGTGATTTTTAATACCAAAACTGATTTAAAATTACCATACGTTGGAATATAAATTATTCTACTATAAAGATACATGCATTTGTATGTTCATTGCAGCACTATTCACAATAGTACAGACGTGGAATCAACCCAGATGTCCATCAGTGATAGATGGGATAAAGAAAATGTGGTATATATACACCATGGAATACTATGGAGCCATAAAAATGAATGAGATCATGCTCTTTGCAGGGATATGGATGAACCCAAAGCTGATATCTTCAGCAAACTAATGCAGGAAGAAAAAACCAAACACTGCATCTTCTCACTTATAAGTGGGAGCTGAATGATGAGAACATGTGGACTCGGGGAGGGGAACAACAAACACTGGAGCCTGTTGGGGTCAGGAGGGAGAGCATCAAGATAAGTAACTAATGCCTGAAGGGCTTAAAATCTAGATGATGGATTAATGGGTGCAGCAAACCATCATGGCACACGTTTACCTATATAACAAACCTGCACGTCTCACACATGTAATCTAGACCTTAAGATTTTTAAAAAAAAACTACCTTCTGTTTTAGCTTCTTAATCAGAATATCCATTTTTAGTTGATCTGTTTTTAAGTCTTCATGGCAAACAAAGTCTTCATTTCCAAATACATTTAACATATTTATTGTCATTTCCAGGAGTTTCTTATATCTGCAGAAATATACAGAATTAGTAAGTCAAGTATTTTTAAGAGTAAATATTTAATAATTGTTTAAACATATATTATGTTATGGCATATCAAAGAAACAAATCTATAAACTATGTTCCTTTCAGTTTCAACTGAACATAGTTTTAAAGCATTCTATATGAAATTATAATCTTAGATAAATAATATGAAGAACAATTTTATGACATAAATGGCAGATAAAGTGATATTATAACCATACAGTGTTTTTGTTTTGTTTTGTTTTGAGATGGAATTTCACTCTTGTTGCCCAGGCCGAAGTGCAATGGTGTGATCTCAGCTCACTACAACTTCTGCCTCCTGGATTCAAGTGATTCACCTGTCTCAGCCTCCCAAGTAACTGGGATTACAGGTGTGTACCACCACGCCTGGATTATTTTGTATTTTTAGTAGAGATAGGGTTTCACTGGTCAGACTGGTGTTGAACTCTTGACCTCAAATGATCCACCCACTTTGGCCTCCCAAAGTGCTGGGATTACAGGTGTGAGCCACCACACCTGGCCTAACCATACACTTTTTGTAAATAAACTACTCAAGTCCATGTTGGTATGCTAGGTAAAATAACCTATTACTAAATATAAGCCATAACCCAGAGATGAGTAACCAAGATAAAAAAGTAAAACACATACATTTGAAAAAGACACAAAAATACATTTTGATGCCCATTGGCCACAGTCTCTCAGAAGAAGAAAAAGTACACACAAAAAGCCTCAAGGAGATCATTCAATGTAGAAAAAGAGAAGAAAACATCTTTAATATCTGAGTTGAGGAGAAAAAGGAAACAGGCAGTTTTAGAAAAAAGGAAAGGGGCAGAGAGATGTGAGACGATTTAAAGACTTTGAAGAAGAGATCTAGACACCTTTGCTGACATAATGTCAACAAAATGAAAGAGATACAAAACCATGTAGAGAAAGGCAATGACAGAAAAATGTTGATTAGAATCAGAAAACCAAATTAAGTGCTCAGTAAATACATAGAAAAGTAGCTGTGTTCAGGGCTTCAAAGACAGATTCCATTGTTTTAAAAAAAATCTGTGATCAAAGCATGAATGTTCATTTTACTTTTTCTTCAAGTTATACATATATTTTTATATATATGAAATTTATTTATGTAAAACAAGTTTAATAACATGTATACTTCATGTATACAACAGAGGTACTCATGTACAATGAGTAAATTTCCATGATATGTTTTATATCTAAAAGAAAAAGAAGCAGAAACAAAATATAAGCTACATATCAAGATAAATTTGTTGTTAAAGAATGACACAAACAGGTCTTCTTTGAAGAATTTGAATGCAGCAGAGGATACTACAAAAGAAAGAAAAAATGACCACAGACAGCAAAAAACATCTTCAGAAATAAAAATTCAAACTAGATAATGAAGAGTGTACTGGACATTATATGTCCAAGGCTTGGTCATTGTTCTCAAAATCATTAAAGAATAAGTGGCCAGGCATGGTGGCTCACGTCACTTTGGGAGGCCGAGGTGGGCAGATCTCGAGGCCAGGAATTTGAGACCAGCCTGACCAACTTGGCAAAACCCCGCCTCTACTAAAAATACAAAAATTAGCCGGGCCTGGTGGCACATGCCTGTAATGACAGATACTCAGGAGGCTGAGGCAGGAAAATTGCTTGGAGGCATAGGTTGCAGTGAGCCAAGACCGTGCCATTGCACTCCAGCCTGGGAAACAGAGCCAGACTCTTTCTCAAAAAAAAAAAAAAAAAAAAAAAAAAAAAAAAAAAAAGAATATTTTGGCATTCAAAAAAAATTTCACCTTGCCCCAGCAGCTCAGCTGACTCCCAACCCCATGACACAAATGTCTAAAAAGTTGTGCTGTGAGTTTCTGAAATACATTTTAAAATAGAATTCATTTAATTATGAAAATGCAAACATAAAATGAATTTGTATCTATGTTTTAGTCAAGTAAAATTAGAGCTAAATCAATTAATAAGTGGTTAACATGTTCTAGAATATGAAAACCATACCCAGTTGCCTCTTCTTCTAATTCATGATTTTTCTTTCTTATTCGATCCACATTATACTCCAGTGATGATATTAACTCAAAAAGTTTTCTTAATTCTTCATTTTTTTCTTCAGGCTTAAAAAAAGTGTTTAAAATTATTTTTGTAAAATCTAGAGTCCCTCTTTTATCTCAAAAATATTATTTCTCATAAGTGGATGAGTAATATGTATATAGGCAGGTGTATAAAGTGCATTTTATAAACCTGATGCCAATAAGGGCAGATTTCAAAAATAGTCACTTTTCTTAAAACTGCTAAAAATGATTCAAATTTTCATCATCTTTTCTGAAATTTAAACTGCCAAAAATGTTTGTTACAAATGAGGGTTTTTACACACAAAATACTAAGGGTTAGTAAAAAAAAAAAAAAAGAGTAGTTATATTTACATTTTAGTTTTTAAAGATGCTCTATAAACATTGTCTTTAATAGTTTAAGATATTCCAAGTTTTCTTAAATTACATCTTACTAAGACAATTTTTAGAAAACTCTTATCTAGTTCCCATTACATTTTTGATCCTCATCTGTCTTCAGGCTGAGCTAAATACTGTCATTCTAAGTATTCACCCATAGGTTTCAGTTTTTCCCTTTCTCTTAACCATTTCTCTTTAAATAAAGTTTATTTTTTCTATAATCAACAAAAACAACTTTTGTCTACTTTTTGTGGCTTTTCTATTATCCTGTTTCTCCCCTTCCATTGGACTCTATGACACATGGTCTCATTCAGAAATCTATTTTTCATCACTTATTGTGTTTTTTATACTGAAATCTGATTTTTAATAATTCCAATAAAAAAGCCCAAGGGTCATGAAGGACTTTATCCTGTTTTGCTCAGCAGAGCAGTGACCAAATGCTCCCTCTGCTCCTCTGACCCCTCTTCCTTTCTAAATGCTGTGACCTCTATTCTTCAGCCCTAACCCTTTCTATTCCTCTGACCCCACTTCCTTTCTAAATGCAGCAATCTCTGTTCTTCAGCCCTATCCTTTTCTATTCCTCTGACCCCGATCATTTCTAAATTTAGCAACCTCGTTCCACAGCCCTATCCTTTTCTGGTTTTTTGGTTTGAGATGGAGTCTCCCACTGTCACCCAGGCTGGAGTGCAGTGGCATGATCTCAGATTGCCGCAACCTCCACCTCGTGGGTTCAAGCTATTCTCCTGCCTCAGCATCCCAAGTAGCTAGGATTACAAGCATGTGCTACCCGCCCAGCTAATTTTTTGTATTTTTAGTAGAGACGTGGTTTCACTGTGTTGGCCAGACTGGTCTTGAACTCCTGACCTCATGATCTGCCTGCCTTAGCCTCCCAAAGTGCTGGGGTTACAGGTCTGACCACCATGCCCAGTGGCTATTTCACTTTTTACATTCTCTCAGGACTCCTAAAATCTCAAAACTTTGACCTAGATTCCCTAATCTATATTTCCAGCTCTGAACTTCTTCTTGAGGTCTCTTCCTTCTAGTACACATATTATAGACAATGTTCTCAACCACACGCTCATACATTGCTACTTGGTGCAGATTACTTTTGTAGATAGTGAATCTTGTCTATTTTATGTTGGCTCTCATTAATGTTACTTTGTTATTTTCTAATCTCAAAGGGGGACTATCTCACTGTTATGATACTAACCAGCATACTTTGTCCTTTTTTTCTTTCTTTCTTCTTTTTTGGACCAGTATACTTTGTCCCTTTTTTGTTTTACATTTTTAATTTTTTTTTTTTTTTTGAGACGGAGTCACACTGTGTCATGCAGGCTGGAGTGCAGTGACACCATCTCGGCTTACTATAATTTCCACCTCCTGGGTTCAAGTGATTCTCCTGCCTCGGCCTCCCAAGTAACTGGGACTACAGGTGCACACCATCACACCTGGCTAATTTTTGTATTTTCAGTAGAGACAGAGTTTCACCATGTTGGCCAGGCTGTTTTTGAAATGCTGACCTCAGGTAATCCACCCACCTCAGCCTCCCAAAGTGTTGGGATTACAGACATGAGCCATGGTAGCCAGCCCTCTTTTTCTTTTATATTGAAAACTTTCCCATGTGAATCAGATTATCAATTGTTTGCCTTTGTTTTCTTTTAAAGAAATTCCTTTTCCATAGAGATATGGCATGATGAAAGGTTTGTTCTAAAGTTTCTTTTGGGGGACATTTAACTATGTCATTGGGAAGCTTCAGTAAGTAGAGATCTCCCTTCTTCCCACTCAAGATTCTTCATCTCAAAATGGTGTCCACCAAATGTCTTAATCCAGGTTGTCTCTTGTTTAGAAATTCATGAAATAGGAACCTTCTCGAGAAGTTGGAGGCTATTGATTGAGATGGTTAAAGCTGCCCCTTATTATATGTTTTACTCCGAAGGTAGACATCAAAGTGGCTAATAATTCTATGTCTGATGTCTAACTCACTTCTATGGGAATCTATACAAAACGTTTTATTTATGAGACAGAGTCTCCCTCTGTTACCCAGGCTCGAGTGCAGTGGCTTGATCACCGTTCACTGCAGCCTGAATATTCCAAGCTCAAACGACCCTCCTACCACAGCCTCCCAATGTAGCTGGGACTACAGGCATGCAGCACCATGCCTCAGCTAAGTGTTTAAAAAAAAATTTTTTTTTAGAGACAGGGTCTCACTATATTGCTCCGCCTGGTCTCAAACTCCTGGACTCAAGCGATCCTCCTGCCTCAGCCTTCCAAATCCAGGTGTTTAACTGGAGACTAACATGAAGCACTTAGAAGACTATGTGGAACATAGTGAGCTACATAAAATATTTGCTATTAGCATAATAATTTTATTGTATATCTTAACAAAATTGTGTATTGTAGGCAGGTGGCATGCCAATGGAAGTACTCTCCTATAGCTGAACTGAATCATTCTTACCACTGAGAGTTGCAGCAAATGGGGGACATAATTTATAACTTACTTTTCTCTCTGTATGATTCATTAGTCAATGACTATGTATGTACTACAATGTAAACAGCACCTCCTGGATTGAATAGTACATAACTGACATGACCAGCAAAGACAGACTAAAGACACTGAGCTGAAAACCCTGGACTCTATTGCTAAATCAAGGCTCCTGAATCCGTTAACTCTGAGCAACTGTTGCTGTGGTGCTGCCTTCACAAGCACTCTGCTGAGCACTCAGATTGAGGGGCTGTGCTATCCGTCATCAGAGAAGCTACAGCCAGAACTGTTCAGCTGACAAACTGGTAACAGTCCAGAAATACAGTTCTGACTGCATAGTGAAAAAACGCCAATTTAGATTCTTTTTCATAGAGAGAAAAACATAAACACGTGATTGAATGCATCTCCTGTATTAGACTAATTGGTTTAGATTTGATATTTAATTGCTAAAAATACATTTAGAATATAAACTTTACTGTGTCAAGGTCTCAAAGCAGAAACAATTCGTATGGCATAAAGGATTGAATTGAATGCTGCAAACTTCTAAGCTAAAATATTTTCAATGTATGCAAGGATAGGTGGCATACATATTATATATTATTCCCCCATTAAGCAAATTTATAATGAGAGAAAATTATCTTCCATAAAAAAATAAAAGCCATGTAAAATTAAGGATTAAGTTTTTCTGCACAGACTAGACAACGATTGCTAACGCATAAAGTCAATGAGAGAACACTCAGAGAAAGCTTCATGAAAACAATAAATTGTCTGCCACGTCTGAATGAATGAGGCTAGATGAACAGAGACTGAGAAGGCAGAAAGGATAGCATAAGCAAGACAAGTGCTGATATCTGCCCAATTAACTCTGAGGATAAAGTCCAATGGCAGGGAAATAAAAACCCGTGTCCACATAATAACCTGTAAGTGAATGTTTGCAGCAGCATTTTTCATAATAGCTAAAAAGTGGAAACTAACCTAAAGGTCCATCAATCGATGAATGAATGGAAAACCAGTATAGCCATGGAATAGAATATCATTTAACTATAAGAAGAAATAAACTACCAAAGTGTGCTAAAACAGACATGAATTCTGAAAACATTATGCTAAGTGAAAAAGCCAGTCACAAAGGACTAAATATTGTATAACTCTATGTATATGAAATATGCCAAACAGGCAAACATATGGAGACAAAAGTAGATAGATGGTGGTTGCCTACAACAGGGGTAGGTGGAGGGACATGGAGGAAGGCTGCAGTCATGCCTAGGAGATGTGGGGTTGCTTTCCAGGGTGATGAAAATGCTGTGAATATACTAATAGATACTGAGTTGTACATTTTAAATGGTTGAACTCTCTGAAATGTGAATGTTATCTCAGTGAAACTGTTTTTAAAATCCAAAGGCAGGATCAAGATAATTTTCTCAACTCTCAATTTTTGATGTACATGCTATCTCAAATTTAAATATTTCTACAGTTTTATAGTATATTTTAAATAAAAGACAAAGAAAATGCCTAACTTTTCAAATAGTTTGTAAATTAACCTAAAACATGCACATTTCAAAGAATAGTATAATGGCCTTTCTGTACAAGTTAACCTAGAATCTGTGAAATAAATAGACACAGATTCTGTGTCCATTCACAAAAGTGAAGAAATAAGACAATTTTCTGGAACATTCCATGAAACATTCTCCTCTGATTTAATCTGGCCTGCCTCATCCGAGAAATACAAAAATTACTTAAAAATACTGTTTTAACAGGAAAAAAGTCAGTTTTCTATGAGGAATGATGTATAATTCTCAACTTTTCCAAGGGTACATATTGTAAGAGAAAACGTATGTAATGGTTTTTCAAAATGGTAGAATGAAAGTCACAATATAAAAAAAATAAGTACATTATAAAGATAGTAAAATGGAAATAATTCATTGTAATGAAAATAAAAAATCAAGCTTCTGCCAAAATTAGTATCCTAAAACATGTTATATAATTCAACTAGCTACAGAATACAGTTGACATGTTAAGCTCCATACATACTGACTTTCCACTTGAAATAATTTCTTCTTTGGGGCCTGTATCTCATCCAAATTAATGTGATAATGTGATATACCTTCCAGTGGAGACTCTAACATAGTTAATTTTTTTAAGCTGTCAGCCGCTTCTTGTTGAAGTTGTCTCACAACCACCTGAGAAAATATTTTTGTTACTAATTTTATAAATTGCCTTATTATTAAATTATGTTAATAATATTTAACTCTAACATACCTACTTTGAAAATTATCACCACACATATCAATTCACCTTCTTTTAATCACATGTACACATTTTTTATTTATTACTGAATTCAGTGAGGGATGCAGAATATGTTTTCTTCCTGCCAAATTGGTATTCTCTTACTTACACAACAGATTCATCCCACCATTCAATCATCTTAGAAGCTCAACTCAACCTCAAAGTTCCTAACATATTCAATCACCTGTTCAAATCCTTCCAACAGATTCCTATCTCAGAATAAAAGTAAAATTCCAATGGCCTTTGAGATCCTAGGTAAACAGGCCTTTACCTCCCTCTCTGACTTCAGAGCTCCTACAACTCCCTCCTGTGATTACTCCATTCCCACTGTACGTGAAGCCTGCCACCCCTCAGTCTGAACATAGGGATCTAATGCCTAACTCATAAATCACAGGCAGCTACAAGTATCTTTCTACTGAACAAAATTATATTCCAATGATAGTCATTGAGCCTTGAAATAAAAATTATCAGCTAATTATTAATATAAATATTCAAAGTAAACTATAAATACCAGTGGGAAGACTAAACCAAATATAGATTTTCTAAATATTACCACATGTATCCTAAATTATGATTTTATAACAAGTAGGTGCCTTTAAAATATTACATAGTCATAAAAATATGTAATTTGACATATTTTCAGATTTGTTAAATTAATATGAATAATAACAAAGATATACCAACTAAAATACATAAAAAGCTACTTAAAGCAAGGTATTACAAGACACAGCAATACACTTCAGTTCATCTGGGAAATCTAGAATTAAGTGTCGAAGAAAATCAATTAAATTTTAATTTGAAAATACTCATTTCAGGTGTAAACATTTCCATTTATACCTATATTATGGTCTTAACATGTGGCAACATAAAGTCATTAAAATTATTATTTCAGCAGTACAGAACTATCTACCTTAAAATATGACTTTGTGCCTAATAAAATTTCATAGGTGACACAATGTCTTTTCTCAAAGTAAATCATCTCTCACCTCTACCTTTTATTTCCTAGAAATGAGGCATGTTTCTAAGATGGCATAGTAAACACATTTTTCCTTTTTTTATTAAAACAGCTTTGTTGAAATATAATTTACATACTATAGAATGTATCTGTTTTAACTTAAAGTTAAAAGATTTTTAGTACATTTACTGAGTTGTGCAGCCATCTCTACAATCCAACTTTAGAGAATTTCCATCACTGCAAGATCCCTCACGCCCATTAGCAGTCACTACCAGCTTCCAGCCCCAGCCCTCTACAAACATTAATCTACTTTTTGTCCCTATACATTTATCTTTTCTGGATGCTTCATGTAAATGGAATTATACAGTATGGTAAACACACTTTTATCCATTGATTTTTATATTCCACTAAGTTCAACATGTATCCAGAACCAAATGTTTAAATTTTCTTTCTAGAAGTTTGAAAATATTTATCTTCCTTGATACTTACTACTCTTTCTGCTTTCTCTCTCTCATATTGAAAGAGACTTTCTTTTAAATGATCACATTCATTCATTAGCTTCTTATTTTTCTCTTCTAGCATGAGGTCTGTCTTTCCACTCTCAATAAAGCCTCTTTGGATATTAGTTACTATCTCTTTATGATCCTTTTTCTGATGAACATCATCTAGTTGCTGTTCAATGCATGGATTTTTATATTGGAGTTGACATATCCTGTCTTCTACAGAGCCCCACTTTCCAGTGGAATTACTCACTTTAGCTTCTGCATTTTGATACATCTCTTTCATTTCCTTTATTTGCTGCTGTGTTTGGCTTAGGTCGTTTTGGACAGTTTCTAAAGCCAATGACTTTTTTCTGAGAGTATCTCTTGTCTTACGGAACTTATCTTTTAAGGTATTGAATTTAATTTGTGTTTTAGAAAGTTGTTCAGTAAGAAACTCATTCTTATCTTCTACTTTGGGAATATCAGAACTCATTTTTACTTGTACGGAAACATCTCGTGTTCACTCTAAAGCAAGTTTTAGGTTTCTTTCTGTTTTCACACTTTCACTATGTTTACTTATAGCAGCAGCCAGTCTAGACTGATAAGATTCAATTTCAGCTTCCAGTCTTTTGTTGCTTTCTTCTTCCTTCAACAGTTTGGAATTGAGCCTTGTATTCTCAGCTTTGAGATCATTAAGCTCTTGTTGATACCGGAATGCTGTTTTTGTTATCAATTCCTCATTGAGTTTTATATAGTTTTCAAGGGCAGCATTTGTTTTTTTTAACAATTTTAACGTCCTTAAGATATTTATTTTCTTTTTCCAGGTTGTCATTTTTCATTGTGCATATTTCCTGTCTGAGTATAGCAATATCTGCCTTCAAAATGCAATTTTCATCCATCAGATCTTTTATTTCTTCGTGATTATGAAAATCCTAAATAAAACAAAAGAAACTTTTAGCTAGTACTCAATAAAATAACATATCATGATTACCTCTGAAGTTAAAGAATAACCTGCGCATCCATACACTAAAAAGGTTACTGTAAGTGGATGTCCAACTAGAGAAAAAGTTGAAGCAAAACTTTGAACCCTATAGAGCATAAATTCCAAAAAGTTTAGAAATTTATTTAAAAGTCAATGAATTTATAAAAGTAAACACGTATACACACATGCACACCAGAGAACTTTTAAGAATTTCAGAATTGGAAAAGCCTTTCCCGGAATTACAACAAACTCAAAAGCATAAATTAAAGCATTAACAAATTTGACTAAATTAAAATATATCAAAAAATTGCATTTACCCTTTGATATCTAACTCATACACCATCCTATAGTAAGAACCTTAGTTCACACGTATTTGGACAGATAAAATTTCCCAGAGTTATTACAGTTCTGTTTCACTGATAACATTCTATTTCAATTTGACTCTTTTAACACTTTTATACTCAGTTGTAAGAATTACATTTACTAAATCATAAATCTAGACATTATACTAGTCACTCCTATATACATTCATTGATGAACTCATCTAGTTACCACAATTTTGAAAAGAAATGTTGAAAATATAAGCAAGCTACAGAATTTTCCCCAGGACTTCTGACTCTACTTCTAGTTCTCTGACAGATCACAGTTACTTCTGTGGTGTAAATATATCAATACGAAAGAAAACTTTTATTTCAAAACACCAGTGGTAAATAAGATAAAATTTATAGAGCTCTTCTTAGAATATCATGAGATTATTTGTGATTGCAATAATTTGTTTCCTCTTTATAATATTAGGTACAGTAATCAATATGAAATAGGGAGAAGTACAAGGAACAATTTTACTGGGAACAAAATCTTTATCAATAGGTTATCACTAAGTATATATTATGGCATAATATTGTTTTCAAAAGCTCTTTGTAATAAAATAATAACCTACATGGATGCCAAGATTTATAATAAATATTAATAATTGTACCTGTAACTGTCATCATTCATTTTTTTAAAAATGAGATAACATTTCTGGTTTGTTTTAGACCTAAATATTACATATTAAATCAAGAGGATATTATAAGTAACATTGATAAAATAAAGTTTAAAATATAGAATTTTTACCAAAGATTGATTTATCTGATTTGGAGTATTTCTTGCAGTCTTCGGTTTCATCTCTAGTGATTGAACAGCTGGTTCAAGTTGTTTTGCTTCAACTTCTTTCTTATATTGTTTCTCTTTCCTTTCTAATTCTTCTCTATTTTTTGTACAGCATATTAACATTTGTCTTTTCTTCATTTTCTTGTCTTAAGATGCAGCTACAGATAAAGACATTTATCTGAAAATTCATTTTGTTAAAAAATAAAGAGATCATCCTGTGATCTACCTCTGCAGATGCTCTTTATCATCCTAATAAAATTTCTATATTCTGGATTATTTTTCCTTTGTAGTTCTCAGATATTTAATTTCTCACTTCAACATCTTCAAAAGAATGCATATACTTGAAAAGTAGTAAGGAAAGAATATTCTGCTAAAGTTTTTGTTACTAGTCACTCTAGTAAGTATTATAAAAAAGGATACTGGAAATAATTCAGTATAGTTAGAAGTTCAAAATTACCTTTTCAAATCACACAGTCATAATTACTCCCTGATTAGAAAAGGTCATTTACAATCAACTAAATTTTTAAAGTTACTATTTATTGACAAGCATATAAGTTCACTAGAAATAAATTTTTATCTCTATGAAATATTGCGGGTGTCTCTCCAAATGATTTACAGAGTAAGATGTCTCTCACACAAACTATATTTGCAGATGATTGTCATCTAAAACTAGGTTAAAGAGTCTAACATCTGTTTCCCCACACTTTTTATAATTCTTTCTTAATACTTCCAATTCACCTTCTTATTACATATATTTTATATATTTATTAAGCTATTGTTCATTATGTGTAATATATAATTAATGCCCTTAATGTGTGTATGTTTACACAAGTTATGTTTTCCTGTGAAATCTAGTCCCAGAAGTGGAGTTGTTGAGTTAAAGGGATGTCAGGTTATTTGAAATTTTGATACACAGCACTAAGTTACCCTTCAGAAATAATTTACCAATTTCATATATGAACAGTGTATGAGAATGCCTTTTTCCTCACATTTTCAATGGTAGTAATTACTTTTTCAATATCAGCATGACTTTACTAAATATATCTTATTTTATATTAATTTGCATTTTTCTGATTACCAGGCAGGGCTAAATATCCCTGGTAAAACTGTAAAACTTGTTAATCATAAGGAACATTAGTCCAATTTTGAATTAGTTTATAGCACAATGACAATTATCTGCTGAGAAATACTGCTATCGGTGGCTGGGCACGGTGGCTCACTCCTGTAAACCTAGCTCTTTGGGAGGCCGAGGTGGGCAGAACACCTAAGGTCAGGAGTTAGAGACAAGCCTGGATAACATGGTGAAACCTCATTTCCACTAAAAATACAAAAAATTAGCCAGGCATGGTGGCACATGGCTGTAATCTCAGCTACTAGGGAGGCTGAGTCAGGAGACTCACTTGAACCCAGTATGCATAGGTTGCAGTGAGGTGAGAACACACCATTACACTCCAGCTTGGGCAACAAGAGAGAAACTCCATCTCAAAAAAAAAAAAAAAAAAAACACACTGCTATAGGCTTACTCACCTATCGTGCTCTTCCTTCAGTTTCTTGGGAAATTGCTGAGGATACGTTTTCCCAATCTTTCTTTGTTTGGTTAATCTGTCAGCAACAGCAGAAGATGTACTATGATGTACATTTTCTGATACTTGTATTTTTTCACTTTTGTTTGTATTATTTCCTTCTTTGACCTCTAATAAAAGTAATATGAATAATAATTGTTATTATTTCATTCAATAAAAAACTTTTTCCCTGATTTTTTCACTTGATTCAGGTTAACTATCACCATTTTAATGATAAAAGTATTTTGTGCTTACTTTAATTTTATCATTATACATAATTATTATAATTATAATATACTCATCATTTTATCATTGAAATTTTTGTCAAGTCTTCTCATTTCTGTTTGTGTGAATGGAAGAATTTTCCAAAATTTCAAAAAGAGCTCTTCTCCATTTTGTGTTTTTATTCCCATCCACTCTTTGCTATCTGATATAAGTGTTTATGCTATCTGACTGGCAGAAACAGAGAAATAAAAAAACACAGGCATAACATATATCTTCTGTCATTGCCACCTGGATTTTACATGAAATAGCCAGATTAAGAGGATGTGATCTTGTAGGGCTTCAGGAACAGTAAAGAAGTTTTCCCTTTTCTGCACTGAGCTATTCTTTTCCCCACTGCCTTTTATCTCTCTTTTTTTTTTTGAATCCTGTGATATCAAAAAAGTGAAACTTCTCCCTGAACTATGGGAACCAAAGTTTGCCACAACAGAAGAAGCAGAGTGAAACTGCTGAGTTTCTAGTGCAGAATTCTGGAAAACGAGATGCTTCCCAGATTTCACATTCAATTACCACAAACGTTTATAGGTGGAAAACATACGGCACAGTTATCTACTTTAGTCCCATTATCTATTGAAAATGGGAGTCAAACCAACCAAGACATATGAAACGTTTCATCCAGAGCTCTTGAGGTGGCATTCTCTAGCATTTCATGGCACCAAATAACATGATACAATTCCATATTGCTGAATGACATAAATTACCAGATAAATTTATCAAATTAGTCAGATATATTAAAAGTCTAACTTGAGCAAAGCAATTTAACGCCTCAGAGGGTGGAAAAAGGCCTCATCTGCTTTTATTTTGAAAGAAGAAAATCTCTAGATTTTTGTCTATCTTTAGAACACAATGTACAGAACTCAACTTTCTACTAAAGAGTCAAAGGCTAAATTTTTAGCTAAGAAATTATGCTTCTTACATGATAAAAATCATACATGCCAAAACTTACCATACTTTATTAAACAACATAATGCAAGGTCTGATTCAACAGAAATATTGGAGTGGTGATTTTTTTAAATATGTGGAAATATATATTTGTTTTCAAAGTATTGGAAATAACCATGATGGAACTATAAATTCAAATAGTTTGAGCTAAGCAGATATACTTACATGCATGAAAACTCATTAAACAGACTCATTTGGCTGGGAATATTCATTGCAACCCTCAAGGCTAGACGTGTTTTTGTGGCTCATCTCAGTCATTGCTTCCCTCCCATTGTATCTCCATTTTATCATTAAATAAATGTAATTCATCTCTAAATGAATACAGAAAAAAGAATCTAGAATCTAAAGCTTATTTCTTTAGCAATTTCTTTATGTTGATCTGGTTCAGAACATCACAAGGTGTATGGCTGAATTAGTTTCCCAGCTCATATGCCACTTGGAAGACTGAGAGTGAGACTTAGGTTGATTAATGAACAAACATTATGAGAACATTCTCCAGAACCATTGTTTAGATAACAGGACTAATCTACTTAGACACATAATTACACATTTAGAAAATCCCACTGTAACTGTACACATGAGATTTTCTTGAATGGAAAATTTGACTAAATCAAATAATTGATAAAGAGAAAAAAGAAGCAGCAAGTGAACCTCTGTCTTTTTGAAGTTGGATTTTCTTTTTCTCCAAATCCAGGAACTCTACTTGTAACATGCCTACCTAATTCTTTTTTAGTATTATTATACTTTAAGTTCTGGTACATGTGCACAATGTGCAGGTTTGTTACATATGTATACATGAGCTATGTTGGTGACCTTGGAATATCTTGCTGTAAGTCTTCTAGCTATATTTTTGATGTTCTCTTACTATGTGGCAAAGAATAAGCCACATTTTATAATTCAAGATTCATGCTTTTGTAGTTATTAGCACTGGGACTGTCATATAGTGGCTTCTGGAATAAGCACTGTATTGGTTTTCTGATTTTACAAGTATCTATAGCAGCAGAAATCCTGTGGCTTTGTATCTGAATCATATGCTTCATTTCTTTGGGGTGGGTAAACCACAAATCAAAAAGACTTTCTGGATCTCTAGACTGAGGCCAATGCCTAATGTCTAATTTCCAATTAGTGATATTTGGGTTTATATTTTTTGCCATTTGCATGTCAAACTCTTAATCATCTTTCATTCCAATCATAATTACTGGGTTCCTTACTTTTCCAGTTTCTGTATCATAACAAAAATTTTCATTATCTGTATTAGAAACAAGCTATGTGTCTGGTTTGTTACCATTTTTATAGTCTGATTTATTTTAATTTAAATGAAGCTTAGAAGATAACTGGTAAGTGTATTTCAGGGACCTGCAGTGAGAATGGAATAAAAAGACATTTGACATGGGCTTCCTCTGTTCAGGCGCTGCCTGGACTGTCACAGAGTTAGATCCTCCAGATGCATTTTTCTCCTCACAATCAGGGACATGATTCATCAGTTTAGAGGGCACTCCTTTTTTGTTCATCCCTCTTTGGAGTTACTATGTAGGAGCTCTTCCTCAGGGCAAGCAGTAATTTTGGAGTTTTCAAAACTTTTACCAATATTCAGCTTGAATTTTTTTGTAATGAATTTTAAAGAAAGTCGTGAATATATAGATAGATTCCCTTTATCACAATTCTTACCCAGTTCTGGTTCTTGCGATTTTTTTTTTGGGGGGGGGGGGCAGGTGCAAAATGGAAAACAAATTTGCTTGTTTTGTTTCTCAGATGTCTTTTCTGTCAGAGTGCATGTTTTAAAATTAGCTTTAATCAAGTATAAACAAATAAATATTAGAAAATAATTAAATTTTAACTGTGAAACTTAATCTGTGTGTTGCTACTCTTAAATTATGGGATTGTAACTAAAAATTGAAAAATAATTTGCCTTGGCTTAACATAGGACAGAAACATGAACCAGCAAGCTGAACTATCAGCGTCTGTTTGTACTAAACTTAATGCAATATGTGTAAAATCTACCAGAAATGAATTCAAAGATGATAGGTAGTATTATAAAAGCTTCCTCTCTTACAAAGACTTTACCTCAGCATACCAGAAAGAGTGAGCCCCTACAATGCATGTTTGTTTCTGAAGATTAACTAGAGCACTAGGCAAACACTAAATTATTAAGAGCCAAACTGAACACCAATAAGAAAGAGAAGCAAAATTTTAAATTCTAATTCAAATGATATACTATGATAGTGTTATGTATCTAGATAGAATTTCTGCTTATATCCACTTCTAATATATTTTATGTTCCAGTAGTGACAAGGTTTGGATTTTTTAAATTTTAGTAATATTTACTATGTATTTATGTTGAAATAAAGTTATTGTTTGCACCCTGACACCAAAGGTCCCATTCTGCAAGGTAGGATTCTCTTAATAGGCAACTGGGTTGACTTTTATGACCCCATTCACTCCCTGAACACAGACACAGAAGTCAACTGGTGACCACGAAAGAGAATAAATCTTTAAACTCGGCACTGGTGACCAGCAATATAAAACTGCAACATTTGAACCACTGGCAACGATGACTCCTTTAACACTACTTTAACTCAGTGGACATTGTTGTTAAACTGTTCATAATTTCTATTCCTTAATAATATGACCCAATATTTCATGTTACCTTCTGTATTATGAGTAAGGTTATACAAATAAAAGAGCAAGATAATTCTGAAAATTTCTTGCCTCAATTCCAAGGGTAAAGACAGCTATGAGTTATTAGAGTTAGTAAGAATTACTAGAATAACTAGTAGTTACTAGAGATAGTAAGAATATTTTAAGTTTCATAACTGGTTAAAATGTTTTAAAAATTAAATATAAAATTATGATCTATTGGATTGTAAAGGTATAGTCTAAAAGGTCATATCATTTGGACTATGCTTTGTTACTAAAGCAAAAAAAAAACTAATATTAAACAAGAAACTTAAATTTTCATATACCTGTGGTTGCTTCTTTTCACTTCTTTCACACCTTCCTTTCTCTTCCTCTGAAGCCACTGGTAAGGCTTGTTCTGTTGACAAATTCACTGGTTTAGTTCAAATGAACTAAGAAGAGTTAGATAAAGACTATAATCTTTATAAAAATAAATAAAGAATAACATTTCTTTATATTTTGAGAGTTTAAATGAAGCTTAATGTTTACTGAAATATTTACTTCTGTAAGAAATACTTCTAATTATCCAAAACTTCAACAAATCACTTGGGGAGACACTAGATATCACCAGATTCAAACCATACAAAATCTCAGGGTCACTCACAAATTGTTCCACCCAACGTAAGTGAACAAAACTGTTGGAAACAAAACAGAATTTTGAAATACAGTCAAAATACACAATGTAACACTTTACTATACCTCATAACAGTATCTTTTTAACAAGATACTAATTGAGTTGGCAGTTACTAATAATTTGCAAAATTATCATTGTTTATATCTCAATTAGTGTGCACCCCATTTTTTACATCACAAATGTTTTCCCCTGCTATTCTGAAAAATTTATTTTCATCTTTTAAGACTCAGAAAGTAGGCTTGGCATAATAGCTCACATCTGTAATCCCAGCACTTTGGAAGGCCAAAATGGGAGAATTGCTCAAGGACAAGAGTTTAAGACCAGCCTGGGAACCATAGGTAACCTTGACTCTACAAAAAATTAGACAGGTATGGTGATATGTGCCTGTTGTCCCTGCTACTCAAGAAGTTTAGGTGAGAAGATCCCTTGAGCCCAGGAGTTTGAGGTTGCAGTGAGTCTCAATCATGCCATTGCACTCCCTCCAGGGTAATAGAGTAAGAACTTGTCTCCAACAACAGAAAAATAAAAGGCTCAGAATGCTATGTGAAGTATTCCTTGATTTTAACTATCTTTCTCCAAACAAACAGGTGTCTGCTTTGTTGGGGTCCCTTAGCACTTTGTCAATTTTTCTAGTGTCACTTTACCACCTGAACTGCACATCATGTCTTTACATGTTGATCCCCTTTGCTGCCAGACTGTAGAGGACAATCTTTTGAATCATGTTTGTATAAATAGTCTTAATTTTGCTAAATAATTAGTTATTGAGCTCCTGCTAGGTGTTAGGCACTGGGGAATAAGGAAGGAAAATAAAAGCTGTCAGGGATGGCTTTCCTAAAGATCATGCATGAGCTGAGACTTAGAGATGAGGTTAGCCAGATTAAGTGAGGCAGAGGGCAGGAAAGAGTGAGCACATGCCAGGAAGCAAAGAGAGAGAGAGAAGCCTCCAAGAGAGTACGTATTTCTCTGCAGAAGAGGAATGGTAAGGGGGCCATTACAAGCAGCTCAGTAATTCTAGAGAAAAAGGCAGATGGGGAAAGGGCTACAGATGGAGATTTGGGCAGAAATCACTTTCCTTTCTTTTCTTTTTTGGGACAAAGTCTTACTCTGTCTCCCAGAGTGGAGAGCAGTAGCATGATCTCGGCTCACTGCAACCCGGCCTCCCAGGTTCAAGTAATTCTCCTGCCTCAGCATCCTGAGTAGCTGAGATTACAGGCACGTGCCACTACCGCCTGCTAACTTTTGTATTTTATTAGAGATGGGGTTTCATCTTGTTGGCCAGGCTGGTCTTGAACTCCTGACCTCAAATGATTCACCTGCCTCAGCCTCCCAAAGTGCTGGGATCACAGACATGAGCCACCGTGCCCAACCCAGAAGTCAGTTTCTGAAATCCTTATATAAACCTTTAAGATGCTTGGACATTAGGTATTCAGGAGTGGTTCACGGATCTATTTGCATTAGGGATAATTCACTCTAAATACTGTGAGGAGCATAAAATTCTGAGGCATATAAAGAAATGAACAAAGATAAAATATAAGGCAATGTTGCAAAGATGATGCAGGCCTGAGGAGATGTTTTCAGAAATATTTAGGATATAGGTATCAGTGGCCATTATAAGAATGAATTTCTATTGAAAGAATAAATGTATATATCTGGGTCCCTGGAGAAATACACTCTGCTCATTACTTTACAAATTTTATCAAATGAGAAGTAAAATAATATACATAAACTCTTTCAGTTACTTGTATTTACTTTACACTTTTTCTGTTTCAGTTTTTTGGGTTTTGTGGTGGTTGTTGTGGTTGTTGTTGTTGTTGTTGTTTTTTGAGATGGAATTTCACTCTTCCTGCCCAGTCTGAAGTGCAGTGGTGTGATCTCAGCTCATGGCAACCTCTGCCTCCTGGGTTCAAGCGATTCTCCTGCCTCAGCCTCCCAAGTAGCTGGAATTACAGGCATGTGCCATCATGAACAGCTAATTTTGTGTTTTTAGTAGAGATAGGTTTCTCCATGTTGGTCAGGCTGGTCTCAAACTCCCAACCCCAGGTTATCTGCCCACCTCAGCCTCCCAAAGTTCTGGGATTACAGGCACGAGCCACCGCACCCAGCAACATATGGGGATTTGTTTTAAAAGTTCTGTTTCCTGGATCTACCAAGCTCATGAGAAAATAGAGCAAACAAGTCATTTGCATAGGTAAGAAACTTTGGATTTATAGCTTGTCATCACTACTCTAGAAGATTATCATTATGTTTTGCAAAACAAAATGTTAATTACAGACATAAGGGGAAAAAAATTAAAACTATAGGGGTGGGTGAAAAAATATTGCATAATTTATTACTGTTGACCTCATCATATGACTGATTAAGGGCACTGAATTTAACTTGTATGTGAAGTAGACCCCATATTAGCTGCAGTTAATCAGTAGACCAGGTGTTCTAGCAGAATTAAATTTGATGCTCCTGTGTTATCTTTAAATGACACAGCTTTTCTGAAAACCCATACTCGTAGTGCATGATTATCCATTAAGAAAAGGTGATGAAATATGTGAATACAGCTGAGGAGACACCACAAAGCAAATGCTCAATGGTTCCCATTAATATTGGGAAAATCCACACTATAAAACAGAGAGCCATAGACATTATTTAATATTTGGTTTTGGAAGGTATTTTTAGTGACTCTGCATACAGTTGTACCCAATAATTGCTAAATTAGAGACGTAAAAATAAAACAAAGGCACATTGTGTTTGAGTAGGAAATCTGTAGATATCTAGGTGGTTTTCCCATCCAGCCACAAAATTCTAAATATAATCATGGTACCTGCACTCAAATTTATGTTAAATACCAACCTCAATGAAATCACTCTTTCTTCTCATTCTCTTTGTTATTTATATGTTGTTTTCCTTAAGGGAAGAATAGAAATGCCTTGCTAAGAACCATTCTGTTTGGTTGTAGGCTGCATAAAGGGAGTAAACACAAAGTACATTTGACCAAAAAATGACTATTAAATGTCAGAACTATGGTAGCATGAAGCCAAACGAGGTAATCTAGAATAAAATTTTCTATGCTTCTTTCCCTTCTTTGCTCTCTTTCTACTCTAATAACTGCGATTCACACAGGTAATGAAGAGTGTAATTCCCTGATAGAAACACAGCTCCAAGATTAATCCTTTCTTTAACTATGAAGTTCACGTGTCCAAAATCTGTGGTAGTTGCTGTCTGATTTTTGATCACTGATGGTGATACAGATATTTATCATCAACTCACAACTTCCCAAATCTTTGAAAAGTCTTACTATTGATGATTCAACTAGTAGAAACATGATGTAAAATATCTGAAAATAAAGTTTTTATTTATTAGAATGTAAATAATAATACAAATTGTAATAAGGTGTAAAAGTTCTTTCTTCACTGAAGCAGTACCATGTTGTCCTGTACCCCACAAATGCACTACTCCCCCATGGTCTAATGTATTTTAAAAGTCCTGTAATTGCTATTAACTCAGACAAGTTTACTTAACTTGTTCTAAGCTTCTCGTATTTACTACAGTTTACTTTCAATCACTCAACCATCTCTGTTATATATGTTGTTTTCCATGAGAAATTTGTTTATTAGTAATTAAGATTCTTCAGGGATAAGAAAATATTTGAATAACTAAGTTTGTGCATAAACACATTAAGGTCAAATACCCATGATATTATTGTGTGTTTCTGTGTACTAGAGACAAAAACTTCAAAAAATATTTTAATGAATATACGTTAAATTAAAAACTGCTTTCATTAAACTGAGATAATCTTCCCTCAATGCATGAATACCTTCAGAATTCACATAGACCAAAGAATTGTATAAAATATAATAGCCTTAAAAATCTTATTTGTAGATGGCACAGTGGCTCCCACCTGTAATCCCAGCACATTGGCAAGCCGAGGTGGGCAGATCACCTGAGGTCAGGAGTTCGAGAGAAGCCTGGCCAACATGGTGAAACCCCATCTCTACTAAAAATAGAAAAATTAGCAGGGTATGGTAGCACGTGCATATAGTATCAGCTACTCGAGGGGCTGAGGCAGGAGAATTGCTTGAACCCGAGAGGCAGAGGTGGTAATGAGCCAAGACTGAGCCACTGCACTTCAGCCTTCGTGACAGAGCAAGACTCTGTCTCAAAAACACAAACAAACAAACAAAAAACCTAATTGTTCCCATATAAGTCTATGTTCACACAAGATCTGAAGAGCACACAACACCGTGAGACAGGACAGACATATATTTTAAAAGTTATATTCCTGGTTTCTGTAAAAATAAAACAGTTGAATTTAAGCTTTCAAGACAAGTCAAGGAAAAGAGCAAAAAATGCAAAAGTTAAACTCGAAAGGTCATTTCCCCGTCAAGGGCTCATGATCACTGGACATTCACAAACTATAGTGTTCAAAACATTAGTTCTGAATTTTGATCCGAGTATCCCTTTAGTAGCTGTTTCATTCAAGGATGTCCAAGAGGTAAAATAAGACAATATCATTTGCTATTTTCAGTTTTCTTTTCTGAGAACAGCCCAGCATTCTTTTTCAGAGAAATGAATTGTCCTAACTTCATAGGCTAAAGGCTCATGAGTCATAGTTCTAAGGGCATTAATAAAATATAGTGGTGCATGCTTGTATTCTGAACTTTTCAGGTTTAAACTCTCATATAGTAAATGCTAATAGATACAAACTGATTAAAGAAAAGCCCTCTTAATCTGACATTATTTTTATTTTTATTTCTTCATTTATCAGCAACAGGAGAGTCTAACTAAATGTGGTAAACTGGTATGAGGGAATACAATGAACAGTGTAAAATGAATTAAACCAGAGATAATCACACCAGTGTGGGTACAAGTGTAAAATATAATACAAAACACACCAAAGAAAGTGGCAGAAAGGTATATAAAGCGTATAACCACTCACGTACCATTTTAGGACACAAAAAATTCTGCATATTATTTCTGAGCATCACAATGTAGTTAAAGATTTCAAAAAGGCATTGAAATGAAAAACAACCAACTTATGATGTTGGTAGCCTCTATGCAATCATGTTTTAAAAACTTTAACACCAAAAAGTCTCAAAATTACCATTTTAAAAGACTGTGTCTACCAGTTATAAATGAATCATTACTTTCGTCATTTGTAATAGTCAAAGATGCCACAAATGCACGCATACACACACCTATATATACACCTACACACACAGTCTTGCTCGTTAGAACATCTGATAGGCTTCAGATCATCAGTGTAATAACACTAGCAACAAGCCTCTAAAGTTAAAACAGAAACTGACACTTTAAAAAGTAAAACTTTCGTCTAGGTAAAGATCAGAACTCCAACTAGCACTTAACTCACTGGAAATATCTTAAGAGTCTCAAAATTCACTGCTTTGAATCCCTGACAAGTATAAAAATTTTATACTGAAAACTTCATGCTATTCAAAACATTAAAACAGAAACATCTGACTTAAAGCTTACATTTTTAAAATCTTTTTTATGCTTCTAAATTTGTTTTTATTCAAATACGGATACCAACAATAACATTTATGTCAATGCCTTCTGTTCAATATTGAACAAATAGAATTAGGAATAAGAATAATGTGAGTACTTCCAATCATTGAATGTACTTATTTCCAGTATCCCATTAAATGTACCTGCTCTCAATGTCTGTACATCCTTTTTTGTACTGCTCCTTTCACAGCATGATCTTCCACTTCAGTGCTAGGCTGAATGGGTTTTAAAAGAAAATGATTCATAAATCATATATATTTTATACAACATGGAGTTAGTGATTCAAAAATATACATAATTAATTACTTTCAAGGAAGGATGTTTTGCAGGAGGCCCTACAAAGCAAAGGGGATATGTCATCAATTATATGTAAGTATGACAGGGCCAACCAAACATTCATGCAGTGTTACTATTGAGTTGAATTCTCAGGCATGGCTATAAAAATAATTACTTAAGGTTTTGAGGGTTCTTCTTGGCTTCTTGTTTTCATTGCCTAGGACAGCAACATGACAGAAACACAATGAGGAAAATAGGAATATAGGATTCCTAAAATGCACAGTTTACATTTCAGTAGTGAGATTATGTTTCAAATGCCTATACTTAAAATAGAAAAGCATTGATATAACCGTGAACACGTGGACTGATGAGGAGAAAAGGGACCATTAAACAGAGGGGCAAATCAAACCTGAGGGAATCAATGTCAAAGCTGATGGTGAATGTACAGAGTATTTTAACTCCACACACCAGAGGCATTGCTGCCAGCACAGCACAAATAAATTCCCCTTGTCTTGTCACTGAGGAAATACACAGTTGGGATGACAGTTCAGGTGAATGTGTGATTCACCTCTCATCAAAGAAAGGGTTCTACATTGATCAGCTAGGATACACACTTATGAAATAACAGCTAATCAAACTACTCATTTTTCCCATGATAACATGGGCTACTGCAGCACCTACATTTCTCCTATCCCCTCATTTGGCCTTGAGTTAGAGCTCCTTGATCCACTTATGCAAGGTGGTCCATAAAACACATCAAATAAACCATGTCGAATAAGCTTCTGATATCAAAATATTTATCAAAAAAGAAAACACTGAATGACCACAGACTTGCTGGATATGAATACATATTTATATTTCAAAATCAGTGCAGTATTTATTGAAAATGAGAATTTTGGTTTTCACAGAATGAATTTTATGATTATTTCTAAAATTAACTAAGTTTGGTATATTATCTTACACTGTAAAGGACTTTTATAAAACAGCTATCATATCAAAGAACTGGCTGTCTCAAAAAAAATTTGCCAAAGCATCTATATGCAACTTAATCACATCTTATTCACTCATGTCAGTGAAACTTCTCTCCCTGAGGCCTGACAGTTGTCAAGTAAATTGAGCTGCTGTGGTTTACCCCAACTCTAGCACTCTCTCCTGCCTCCAGTACTCTCCACAGCAATAACCTCTTTTGTGAGACTGGACATATGCTGAAGCAAATGGAAGTGAGCTGTCTCAAGTTTACTTGGCTTTAACTCCCAAGACCCCAGCAAATATCTTTCTTTCCTCCTTTTGTGTCCTTTCACAATCCCTCTTCCTTTGAAAAAATGATTATCAGAACTGTCATCCTGATGCTTCCCTTCCTAACTGCTTTTTATGGATGATTGTGACCACTTTTTTCATCTGTATTCAGCAGTAGTATACACCTGTAATCTCTCTTTTTTCATCTCATTTTCCTTCCCCTGTGGATAGAATCATGCTCAGAAATAAAAGGAAATTAAAGCTTTCCCTGGATTCTGTTATTTTTTAAATTGCTCTCCAGTGGTTCTTTTTCCAGATTTCTCTAAAGGAAGGCTATTCCCTTGCTATTCAGAGCTGTGTCCAAGGACCAGCACAAACATCACCTGAGTGCTCATGAGAAATGCAGACTCCCATACCTGCTGAGTCAGACTGTGCACTTTCCAGAAGCTCCTCAACTAATTCATGACAATTTGAATGCCCTGTTCTACACTGGTGTGCTTCCATATTGGTTTACCCTAATTGGCCTTTTTGGTCTAGCCTCAATTTCTTTCCTATTATGTCCCTGAATTTAATACTACATTATAAGCCATAATGTTTCTAATGAACTTTTAATCAGGCAAAGCTTCTCTAATTAATTTCTTCCCAATAAATCACCCAACACTATTCTTTTCAATTATGTTAATATGATACTATCCTATGAAGTTACAACATTTTCTATAAAAACAAATTATAGCCATACATGGCTGACCATTTACGGTGATGTTCATCTATGGTAGATAAAACACAGGTCTGCGTGGTAAAGTACCTCAATCCTTAATGCCTCCCCACTAGCGAGGATGACAGCAAGAGAAGGAAAATGTTACTGTAATTATATGACATATTTTGGTACTGGAAGCTCACTTTATCTTCCTTCCTATTTCTAACACCCTGTTCTTCCTTCTTCTACAGATCATTTTGACTTTACTACCCTCCATTACAGACATCCACTTTTTTTATTTATCCCATGTACACTCTGCCCTCCTCATTCTTTGTTTCTCTTTTATTCATTTCCTCTTCCCTCTCTCCTGACTTGCCTCAGGTCTTAGAGTATCTTAAAATGGAACTCATAACTCAGCTCCTTTAGTGGTACTTCAAATAGAATCAACTGCTGACCCTTGGTTAGAGACACCACTTATCACCATTTCACTTCTCCTTTACTTATTATACGGTTAGTCGGACATTTTCTTTAGCTATTAAACTCTATCAGTGCTCATATTTTAAAAGAAACATTCCATCAATGACTTTTTTTTTTTTTTGAGATGGAGTCTCACTCTGTCACCCAGGCTGGAGTGCAGTGGCACGATCTCCACTCACTGCAAGCTCCACCTCCCAGTTTCACACCATCCTGCTGCCTCAGCCTCCCGAGGAGCTGGGACTACAGGCACCCGCCACCATGCCCGGCTAATTTTTTGTGTTTATAGTAGAGATGGGGTTTCACCATGCTAACCAGGATGGTCTCGATCTCCTGACCTCATTACTGGCCCACCTCGGCCTCCCAAAGTGCTGGGAGTACAGGCGTGAGCCACCACGCCTGGCCTCCATCAAATGACTTTTTAAATAAAATACGGTTCTCACCTTCTCCTTTTCCATTGACTATTCTGTTTCCTTTTTCATGAGAAGGTCCACGTAAAGGCTCTGACACTTTCTCGGGGACACACTGCTAAGGTAATATCAAGAATTAGTTTCCATTTAAAATTATAATGAGTTGCATCAAGAGTTTCTTATCAATCTCTTTTTATGAAACTGAGTCTCACTCTGTCAACCCAGGGCTAGAATGCAGGGGCCTGATTATGGCTCACCGTGGTCTCAAACTCCTGACCTCAAGCAATCTTCCCACCTCAACTTCCTGAATAGCTGGAACTACAGGTGCATACCATCATGCCATGCTAATGTTTTTATTGTTATCTTTGTAGAGACAAGGCCTCATTATACTGCTCAGGCTGGTCTCAAGCTCCTGGGCTCAAGTCAATCTTCCACTTCTGCCTCCCAAAGTGTTGAGATAAGCAGTGTGCACCACCACACCCAGCCCTAATCAATTTCTTTAAATCAATCTCAATGTTGCCCAGGCATGGTGGCTCACACCTGTAATCTCAGCCCTTTGCAAGGCCAAGGTGGGTGGATTGCTTGAGTTCAGGAGTTTGAGACCAGCCTGGGCAGCATAATGAGAACACATCTCTACACAAAAATACCAAAAGGAGTCAGGCATGATGGTGTGTGCCTGTAGTCCCAGCTGCTTGGGAAGCTGATGTGGGAGGATCACTTGAGCCTGAGAGGTGGATACTGCAGTGAGCCAAGATCATGCCCCTACACTGCACATGGACAACAGAGCAAGACCCTGACTCCCCAAAAATTTCAATTTAAAATGTGAGAATGAAGAGAGATACAAACAAAAAACAAGCCTAATTGGTCAATGAAATATCAGCTTAAGCCAAGAAAGAAAACAAACAACATGAAGTACAATAAAGCACATGGGGAAATAGATCTATAACAGAGCCTTCGGTCTTTCATACCCCTGATAATACTAATTAATATTTATGCTGTAATTAGTTTTTTGTAAGTACTTCTGTGATAGCGTTTCTTACTATAAGACATTCAATTAGCTAAATATGGTCATCTACCACTACCTGAAAGAATATTATTATAACAGAAAGAGAAAACTGGAACTTTCCATCAACTTTCCACCCAGAAAAAGAATTGGTCACCAGAATTCTAAAGAGTAATGTATGGCAGACACATGAAAAAATACTCATCATCACTGGCCATCAGAGAAATGCAAATCGAAACCACAATGAGATATCATTTCACACCGGTTAGAACAGCAATCATTGAAAAGTCAGGAAACAACAGGTGCTGGAGAGGATGTGGAGAAATAGGAACACTTTTACACTGTTGGTGGGACGGTAAACTAGTTCAACCATTGTGGAAGACAGTGTGGAGATTCCTCAAGGATCAAGAATTAGAAATACCATTTGATCCAGCCATCCCATTACTGGGTATATACCCAAAGGATTATAAATCATGCTGCTATAAAGACACATGCACACGTATGTTTATTGCGGCACTATTCACAATAGTAAAGACTTGGAACCAACCCAAATGTACATCAATGATAGACTGGATTAAGAAAATATGGCACTTACACACCATGGAATACTATGCAGCATAAAAAATGATGAGTTCATGTCCTTTGTAGGGACATGGATGAAGCTGGAAACCATCATTCTGAGCAAACTGTTGCAAGGACAGAAAACCAAACACCACATGTTCTCACTCATAGGTGGGAACTGAACAATGAGAACACTTGGACACAAGATGGCAAACATCACACACCAGGGCCTCTCATGGGGTGGGCAGGAGGGGAGGGATAGCATTAGGAGACATACCTAATATAAATGACCAGTTAATGGGTGCAGTACACCAACATGGCACATGTATACGTATGTAAGAAACCTTCACCTTGTGCACATGTACCCTAGAACTTAAAGTATAATAATAATAATAAAGAGTAATGTATGGCTTGAAAAGGTATATTTAATAGAACATGAGTTGGGTCTAATAAAAAACTTAAGAAATGTTAATCTAAAATCTCAATGTTAAGATTCCAGTTGAATAATACTAGAAAATATATTGTAACCCTCTTTGCTACCAATGACCTATTTCTATTTTATTTTCTTTTTAATTATGGCATAATTTCTCAACATAACATATCAAAACTTATACACCCTTTAATATTAAAAAATAATACAATGTAAGCAATATTTTAAAAACGGTATTTAATTATTAGATACATTAGGTTTATTATATTACTTATAATATTCCATTATATAAAAATTCATTTGTCTATTTATTCAGATTAAACAACTATTAAAGCTGAATGTCTCATGCCTGTAACCCCAGCACTTTGAGAGGCTGAGGCGAGCAGAACACTTGAGCCCAACAGTTAAAGACCAGCCTGGGCAACAAGGCAAAACCCTGTCTCTATGAAACTCAGCCTAGCATGGAGACACAGGTCTATGGTGACATAGCTCTATTGTTTCAACTACTTGGATTGCTGAGGTGTGAGGATCACCTGAGCCCAGGAAATGGAGATCGGAGTGAGCCAATATCTCACCAGTGCCCTCCAGCCCGGGTGACAGAGTGAAACCCCATCCCCCAAAACAACAAATAAAATGCTTCTTACATGGAAGACTGTATTCTAGGTACTCCAGGATACACACAAATATGTTTACTGACCTCCAGTAGCTTATGGTATGCAGGAGCTTCCAATGATTATTTAAACAACTAAATAGAAAACTTTCTGACATTCAAAATTTCAGAATATGATATAAGGACTTTGAGTGGTTATTTTATTTTATTTTATTTTATTTTATTTTATTTTATTTTATTTTATTTTTTAAGATGTAGTCTTGCTCTGTCACCCAGGCTGCAGTGCAATGGTGCAATCTTGGCTCACTGCAACCTCCACCTCCTGAGTTCAAGCGATTCTCCTGCCTTGGCCTCCTGAGCAGCTGGGATTACAAGCATACACCATCATGTCTGGTTAATTTTTGTGCTTTTTATTTTTTTTTACAGACAGGGTTTCACCATGTTGGCCAGGTTGATCTTGAACTCCTGACCTCAGGTGATCTACCCACCTCAGCCTCCAAAAGTGCTGGGATTACAAGTGTGAGCCACCACACCTGGCCAAGTAAATATTTTAAATAAACTACAATGACAAAATTACGATGATAAAGTCTTACCATATTGGTATTAAGAGTCTCTGCTTCTAGAACTGGTTATTTGCAGCAAAATACATGTTATTCAATTAGATGACATGTTTTATATAAACTCTTCATGGACAACTCAAACCACACAAAAATCCCTTTGCAATACAAATCTTGAGAACATAAATTTAAATTTCTACATTTCCACAATTTATATTTTTCAATCAGATACAATATTGCCCAGGCTGTTCTCAAACTCCTGGGTTCAAGCAATCTTCCTGCCTCAAACTCCCAAGTAGCAGGGGCTACAGGGGTAGACCACCAAACTCAGCTGTTTTTCTACAATTTTTAATATTTTTTAGTCTCACTACAGAACCAATAATATAAGTAGAGAAACAATTTCTCCTAAAAACTATATCACACCAAAATAATAAGTTTCCAAGAACAAAAGCTATATGCTATGTGCTGAACATTTTTGCCACTAAAAATTACCAGAAGATTCCATGATTACTGCAAATAATTTGATCCACTGAAGATTTATACAAGCATAAATATTAAGAAAGTCACACTTGTATGATTTAAAAGTCAAAGTATTAGTATTTATCCATATAAACCTTAACCAAATTTCATATTTCCTCTACTGGAGAAAGAATTTCCTAATGTGATTTTCCTGCAACTACTTATTTTCCAGTTCATTTATTTTTCAGCTCCCACCCTGTCACAGTACTTATCAATCTCTGTTAGTTACCAAAGTTAAGCACATTTTTTGAATCAACTAGCCATATGTATGTTTTTCTCTGAGCAACTTTCCATTACCACCATAAAACAATTATAGGTGAACCACTGCTAAATTTGAAAAGTAAACACTTGCAAAACTACATTCAGAGTGAGAAAATTAATTTTACAAGAGACCACTTTACCTTAGTAGCAACACTCAAGTCTTCATCATCCAATGCAGGCAATAAATCCACACACAGTTCATGCAAAATGCTTGAGAGCAAAAATACACAATGAAAATGAGCAAGTTGATTTCTTTACAATTTTTTTAACTGCCGGTTTATATCCAGCTTCCCCCTCAAAAAAAGGAAAACATAATCTGGGGAAAGGTCAGTGATCTATATATTAAATTATGATTCTTGATATAATTAAAATATGTCCTCTGTTCTAAAAATAGATTCTATTTACCTACTTCTGTCTCCACCTGTCTAAATCTATAAAATATTCAATGAAAACTAACCTTGAGCTTTATAACAAATAGTGACAGTCAATACATTGGCAGAGCCTGACAATACTTTGCCCTCACAAATTATCTGTTCTGAAGCTGAACTTAAAATTCAATCAGTGGATGACATAAATTTTGTTATCTAAACTGGAAGAAAACTGATGACCTAAAACAAGTTAGAAAGATCCACTGTCTCTTTCCCATGATCTGTCTCTGGATAAAAGACTAATCTGCATCACTTCACAATGGCAGTCTTGATTCCTCGGCATGGATCCAACTTAGGAAGGTCCTATTGCTTTCCTTTGCCCTAAATCGGTACAGGAAAGCCCCTACAATATTTGAAATGTATGAAAGCCAAATGTACAGAAGTCAAATAACAAAGGTGTATGTTCTTATTGAGAATACTTTTCCCAGAAAGATTAAAATATTAACAATTATAAAATCCCATTATTTTCACTCTATAGGTCCTACCTTATTCAGGTCCACATAAACTAGCAAGCCCTTAAAAATTTTCATAGGTACTCAGACACCCAAGGAGAGAGACTGCCAGAAAAAAACCGAGTCCTCATAGTTGTACCTCTATTTCCCTAAGTATTATCTAAGCATCTTTCTTCCTATGGGCTCCCACTTCCAGATTCCACTTCCACAGGGCTCCACGGAAGTCTCCAATCTTCAAATCTTCAGTCTATGAAACCACAGATTCCTGAAAGGATGGCCTCAAATAACCAGGAGTAGGAGCTCTCTATATCCCTGCTCTTGAAAAACAAGCTAACTGGAGTCTCCATCACCTGCCCCCAGCTATACACACTACCAACTACACAATTGAACTCCATGACTGATTTGCCAGCTAATCATGCCCCTGACCCAGCCCACATGGACATGGGAAGGACATCAGTGAACTGGGAAAACAGGAAGAAGTGAGGAGACACCTACCCTGTGCCACATGTCTATGTAGTTCAGCAATTTCCAGCCCCTTAGTACTCCAGGGGCTCTAAGCCACCCTTTTGTAAGTCAGGATGGAAGTAGATGACACCTCATTTGTATCTGCTGTAGACACTCCTCCCAGTGTCTCAAAATGTTTTAACATCTTTCAGTAAAAATCTTCAAGTTTGTCAGTCGTTGATTTAAAAAAAAGCAGCAAACTTTTTAGAGCTCCCTTGAACCTTCTATTTTAATGTGCCTTTGTAGATAATTCCCAATATCTTGTGTCCTTCATTTTTATAATTTATCTTTATCAAACTTGTCATAAACCCCAATACTTTGATCTCTTATAGAAGAGTCCGTACTCCTATCCAATCCAGTGCTGTTTATCTTCAAACTTGGACTTCCCCAGCTCATTCCATTCTTATCTACTTCCATTGTGTTCACCAGCTAATTCCATTCTCATTCTATCTACAGACTCACTCCCGTTTGTATTATTAAAACACATGCCAATAGTATACAAAAAGAAGCAAGAGTACTGGGCTTTAACATGAGTTCAAATCTCATTTCTGCCAATTCCTATGTCTAAAAAAAAGCATCCTAATCTCTTTGAGCTTCACATCCTCTATCTAGAGAATCACTTGACCAGAGTTCAACACAGGTAAAAATACTAGAAAGTATTTTAATTCATTCCAAGATTCCTTAAAATCCTGTAATTCTGTGTCCTCTTGATTCTGTCTATAGAAAAACTTGGAATACATAGGCAGCAGAGTTTGAAAAAATAATAGAACAAAAGAAACACCAAGAAAAGCAGAGAAGAAAGTTTTAAAAAATGAAGACAAGGTTATAGAAAAGTCATGGAAAAAGCAACAAGACTAAAAAATGTATTATGGAAGTAAGCAGAAATACTAGCCTAAATGGAAAACCAAACTGGGAAGTCAAATAATTTGTCTCTAAGACTTGCCTAAACTTGCTGTGGTAAAACTTACAGTCCTATGGCCAAAGCTAAGTCAGATCTGCCCTAGAGCCTTTGATGGTAAAAATAAGATACTGGCTACCACTGAAATTGTCAAATTTATTAGGACTAACCACATTCTAGCAATAAACTTAAATGAGAGTTCAAGGTATTTAAACTCTCATTAACTTAGACATTAATCAGATTAATGAATCTGATTAATCTGATTCAGACCTATAACTTGATCCAAGGGCTGCACAGATATCTATCTATGCTGAGGAGCAAGAGAAAGGATTTGGAAGGCAGGCAGGCTAATGGTCAAACTGTAGGCCAGCTACTTTTTTAACTATGGGATCATGAGGCAATTAATCAGCTCTAATCCATAGTTGTTTATTTAATAGTAGGTTATAGGAACACAGATGTTATGATGGCTTTATGAGATGATAAATGAATAGAACATATTAGGATGTCTAGCCAAGAATACAACACTCAATAGATATTGGTTTCTTCCATCTATATTTTCTTAGTTAACATAATTTTTTAAATCTATGAAATCTTACCTGACTGCAGATTCATCAGAAATTCCAACATCTATTAAAGAAAAAGGTAAAATGCATTTTAAATCAACAATAAATGTACAGAATATTAAAAGCATAAGAATGCACAGTGACGCATGCCTCTAATCAAAACTACTTGAGAGGATGAGGCAGGAGGATCACTTGAGGAGCCCAGAAGTTTGAGACCAACTTGGGAAACATAGTAAGACTCTACCTTCATAAAAAAATTGTGTACACTTGTGTGTATGCTTTAGATCCTGTTTTTTGTTGTTGTTGTTGTTGTTTTTGTTTTGGTTTGGTTTGGTTTTTTAAAGCATAAGACTGATGCTTTGTTACAGAGCATTCCTTTGGGAGCATGCCTGGGACCTTATTAGAATTAACATTCATCATACTTATTGGTAGGTAATTAATGCAGTAAGAACTCTTCCCTTTGTATTTATTAGATGCAAAGAAGAATACATTTATTAAAACTTGGTATCTACAAGTGAACTGCAGTATACAAGTCATCCTAGTCAAACCCTATGAGATTGAGTAAAAATGGTATTGTTAGCAGAACAGGTATGATGAGTCAACAGTGTCAAAGAGCATGATTTCTGGAACAAAATATGAGGGGCCATTAAAACAGAGTATACAATAGTACCCCTTATCCACTATATGCACAGAAAGACATACTTGACAAGTTTTTCTCTGCTGTCACACCACAGCAACAATCATCAGCAAAGAAGGCTTCTGTGACCAAATGTGTGGAGAGTTTTTCCCCACCAACAAGTAAGTAATCATTCCTGCTGATGACACAATTCAATTCTCACACCCTATCTACAGATAACATCAGATTTAATTTAATTTATAAATTAAAGTTTATCATAGATATGTATGTATAGGGAAAAACAATTTGTGATTCAGTACTATTCATGGTTTCATGCATCCACTGGGGGTCTTGGAATGTATCTCCCACAGTTAAGGGGGAGCTACTGCACTTATTTTGTTATAACACAATACAGCCTCTCTAGTTCTTCAGTTCAAACTGTTTAGTTTAGAATAAGACACGCTATCACCAGAAACCAGCAAAACATAGGACTCAGACCAGAAACAGGAATCCTTGCAAAGACTTTCTAGCCACCAGCGGAGAAGACCTCAAGAGATATCAGTGTGTTACTCTGGCTAATACTCTTCTGGGGAAGGTGCTGGGTGGTTTCCTTAGTTGTAGCTATTTGCTCTGGCCTACGTATAACAAGGCCCAAATTCACCTGCCATTTTACCTCCCACAGAAAGAACCACTGGAAAGATCACTCCTTTAAGAGCTTATCCACATTCAGAGAGAAGCTGAAGAAACACTGGGGAGGTGTGGCAGGCTGCCGGGCAGTATTATCTGATGTGAAAAAATATATAGAAAGAAAACTATCAATGCCCTTTTACTATCAGAACGTTCTAATGCTTGCCATTCTCCCTAGTAGGAGAAAAATATTTTTCACCTCACATAAAGCAAAACTCCCTTGTCATCCCTCACAACAGAATCTAGTTGTAGGTGAATCATGTCATCATAATACACGCTGTTGTCAACCTCATCCCTCAAAGGAAGAGGATCAGTGAGGAACTTATGTATTTACCTAATAGCATTCACTGCCTGGTCTTATTTCCAATCAAAGATAAGTATGAAAGACTTTGTGATTCCAGTTTTATAAAGTACAACCCTTTGCACTTGTCCCCTTCCATTGCTAGAGAGTCTATCTGGACCCACCTCACAGAGCAAGATGCTCCAGGTTGTGCTGTGTGGTACGGCGTGGTGTCCTTTTCCTCAACCCTTTCTATTATGTTCCACATATATATACTAATCATGTTTTCTAAGTATGTAAAGCATATCTCATCATAATATACCATTCTTTACAATGATAAAGAAGCAAAAGAAAAACAAAAGGACAAAGAACATCTTAAATGACTACATTCAACTGCCATGGAGCTTTAATTTTCTAACTATTCAAAAAGATATCCACTCTTCTTATTCCAACTATATGACTCTTCTGAAAAAAGTAAAACTATGAAGACAGAGTAAACATCAATGGTTGCCACGAGTTGCTAGGGAGAAAGGGAGAGATGAAAAGGCATAGCATAGAGAATTTTTAGGGCAGTGAAACTGTTCTGTCGATAATATTACAGTAATAGATACATGTCATGTCATTATACATTTGTCCAAATTGACAGAATGTACAGCATCAAGAGTGAAGCCTGATGTAAACTATGAAATTTGAGTGATTATAACGTGTCAATGTAAGTTCATCAGTTGTAACAAATGTACCACTCTCTGGTGGAAAATACTAATAATGGGGGAGGCTATGCGTGTGTGGGAGGCATGGGATATATGAGAAATCTCTGTACCTTCCTCTCAATTTTGCTGTGAACCTAAAACTGCTCTAAGAAATAAGGTTATTGATTTAAAAAAAATATTCAGCTGGGCTCAGTGGCTCATGCCTGTAATCTCAGCACTTTGGGAGACAAAGGTGAGTGGATCACCTGAGGTCAGGAGTTCAAGACCAGCCTGGCCAACATGGCAAAACCTCATCTCTAATAAAAATACAAAAATTAGCTGGGCATGGTGGCTGGCACCTGTAATTTCAGCTACTCAGGAGGCCAAGGCAGGAGAATCGCTTGAGCCTAGAAGGCAGAGGTTGCAGTTAACCAAGATCACACCACTGCACTGCAGTCTGGGAGACAGAGTGAGACTCCATCTCAAAAAACAAAAAAGATATTCACTGTCTATGCATCCCAGGATCTCCAGAACAACAATTAAAATAAATAAGTAAAAAAGATGGCTGGGGGCAGTGGCTCATGCCTGTAATCCCAGCACTTTGAGAGGCCAAGGTGGGTGGATCACCTGAGGTCAGGAGTTCGAGACCAGTCTGACTAACATGGTGAAACCTCATCTCTACTAAATACAAAAAAATAGCTGGGCATGATGATGCATGCCTGTAGTTCCAGGTACCTGGGAAGCTGAGGCAGGAGAATCATTTGAACCTGGGAGGTGGAGGTTGCAATGAACCAAGATTGTGTCATTGCACTGCAGCCTGGTCAACAAGAGCAAAACTCTGTCTCAAAAAAAATAAGTAAATAAAATAAAAAATAAAGATATTCACTGAACCTGTTACTATGATATATTTAAGCAAGACAGGGTGAACCTAAAAATTAGAGATCATTGAAGACCAAAGTAACAACATGTGGTCATTATTTCTCAAATTGAAGTACATAAAATATATAAAATAAATAAATTTAATTGCATGCTTAGGTAAGAAAATATTGATAAAAATGATTGAATATTTTTATCTTATTTCATAATTCTAAGCAGGGATTTATCACAATATGAAAACTAGATTATTCATGTAATCAAAATAAAAGACAATTTTTATTCTAATTTTAACTCAGAAAATATTTTGCTTATTTAACAATTTTACTGAAAGGTAAACGAGTTAAATAGGACAGATTATAATTACCTAACATTGCTATGGTAACTTATGTACAAATAGCTGTTCGTCACTGAAAGTAAAAAAAGTAACCAGCACTGAAACTTAAGATGGATCATACAACAGAAATTAGTACCAAGTTACCTTATCTTATAATATTATGTTATTAAAATGAAATTTTAAAACAACACCAAAAATTAAGTTGGGGCTATACAAAGTGTGCAGAAAAGATTTCATATAACAGGCAAGAGAATTCCATCCTTAGAAAGGCCTGCATGCAAGGCTGGCCCTTGGCTGGTGTTTAGGAAATTGGAATTAGGAGGGTTTCCACCATTCCCTGAGAAGAGTGGCTCACTGTGTCTAAAGTGTTTATAGAAACAGTGTGTTTTCTCTGAACAGCTGCTTTCCTTGTAAGAGTCTGGAATTTGGGTACATGAGAGGGAGAGTAACCTCCATAGAAAAACTTGGGCACTTAGTCTCTAATGAGACTCTAGTACTGGTAGACATCGCTGCACATATGTTGTCAAAATGTGAGCCTGGGAGAATTAAGCAGATCCTGGGAACTCCACAGGACAGAACTCCTGGAGGCTTGTGCCTCGTTTCCTCCAGAATTGACCACATGCACTTTTTCCTCTACTAATTTTGCTTGTCCCTTTTCTTGTTATCAATTAAAGATCTGAGTATGACTATTTGCTGAGTCCTGTGAGTCCTTCTAATGAACCAACAAACCTGGGGTGGTCTTGGGAAACCTTGACACAAATGCATTGTGTAAGATTTGTATTAAGTTGACATGATATATGTAACTGTAATCAGATGGTTATTTCACAGAATAACTTTCCCTAATCTGTTTTTCTTTTCTTTTTTGCCCTTGATATTTGACTTGGAGATTCTTGTATTTCTATATCTATCCAATTGAATAAAACCATAAAAGGAATAAATGAAACAATAATGTCGGAAAATAATGTGAAATAAGCAGCAATCCTCTTTTAACCGAACAAAAAATAGAGAATCTGGGTGATTGACAATATGTTCTACAATATGAATGTTTTTAGAAAAAAAAAATGAAAAAATAGTCAATTTTCTGCAACTCAACTGGGCTTTATTCCTTTTTATAATAATTGTGCAGGCCAGGTGCAGTGGCTCACACTTGTAAATCCGAGCATTTTGGGAGGTTGAGGCAGGAGGATCACTTGAACCCAGAAGTTCCAGACCAGCCTCGGCAATATAGTGACACCTCACCTATTAAACAAACAAATAAACAAACACCCTTAAAAAGAAAATTAGCCAAGTGTGGTAGTGCATGCCTGTAGTCCCAGCTACTTGGGAGGCTAAGGTGAAAGGATCATTTAAGTACAAGGATGCAGAAGTTGCAGTGAGCCAAGAAGGCACCACTGCATGCCAATACTGGAAACAGAGGGAGACCCTGTATCAAAAATAAATAAACAAATAAATAATTGTGTATCAGGCCAGATGTAACCACACAAAACTGTAGTCCCAGCTACTCAGGAGGATGAGGTAGGAGGACTGCTTGAGCCCAGGAGTTCAAGGCTATAGTGAGCTATGATTGCACCAATGAATAGACACTGTATTCTAGCCCAGGCAACATAGAGAGACCCCCATCTCCTATGATAATAATAATTGATTAATTGTGCATCATTCAAGTAAATTGTATAACTGGAGAAAAACCTATGACTATCGAGTATACTATTATAGTCTACTACTGACCATAGAGTTCCCGTTTACTTGCTTCTAATCTTTTTCTTCGTTTCTTATAAAACTAAAAACATGATTTAAACCCATTAAAGGCAGTTCATTGCAAAACAAGTCAAAAAGTCAAAAGAATTGCATCCAAACAGTAGGAAGTGTTATCCACCGCTTTCTGTGAACAGTTGGACTTGGTCCTTAAGAATCAGCAGGACTTTTAACTTTGTGTCTGTGTGCACACGTGTGTGCACATGTGCGTGTGTGTATGTGTACGTATGTGAACTATGACAGATAAAATCATTTTGCTTGTGTAAGAATATGTAATATAACTTGTGCTTCTCACAAAGGAATTGCTTTTCCATCTTCTGTGTTCAGTTGCTATCTTGAAAAAATAATCTCCTATTTGTATGGGTGCCCGCTGGTTCAGTTCTACAGTTCTTATTGCCATTTATTTATGGTACCAGAAAGGGATTGCTGAGTTCCTGGTTCTAAACATAGTTACTTTCTTAGTGACACAAATCAATATGTAATACAGTTCACCCTTGAACAGCAAGGGTTTCAACTGCAGGGATTCACTTATATGCAGATTTTCTTCTGCCTCTGCAATGCAGAGACAGCAAGATCCACCTCTCCTCTTCCTCCTCAGCCTAATCAACCTGAAGATCATAAAGACCTTTGCCAGGATCTACTAATGCTTTATGAAAAGTCAATATGTTTTTCCTGATGACTTCCTTTCTAACAGCTTCATTTCTCTAGCTTATTTTATTGTACAAACACAGTATATAATAATGCAGCACAAACAAAATAGTTGTTCATCAACCTTTTATGTTATCAGGAAGGCTTCCAGTCAATGGTGGGCTATTAGTAGCTAAGGTGAAGGAATCAAAAGTTATACTCAGATTTTCAACAGCACAGGGATCAGGGTCCTTCACCCCCACATTATTCATGGGTCAACTCTAGTTATTTGTTTACTAAATGTAAACAATTTATTATAAAAATGAAATAGAAGATCCATTTGTATAACAAGTCCCATTTGTTATAATGTGACTATAGAGGAAACATACAACATACTAACTTAAACATCTTTTTTCTTATTTATGCAAAAATATTATGTAGGATTTTATGGATCATAATTAAATAAATGAATGTTTTTAGACAATAATATTTGAGATTATAAATTAGCTACAACTACCTTCTTAAATAAATCTGAATTTCAAACTAAAGAAGTTAAATTTAAAAAATTAATTTACATATGTATATACATATATACACATTCAATTTACACATATTGTTAAACTGGTCTTTTTTGACTGACACTACCGTAATCTTACATCTTACTTCTTATTTTCTTATCAAGAGTAGGACCACCAAGAGAAGTAAGAAATTCACTATCAGAAGCCTTACCTGGTTTGTCCTTTTTAAGTATCTTATTTTTATGTTCCAAAATTTGTTGTTGAATTCTAAGTATACAAAAGTAATAAATAAAATTGCTATTTTAATACTGAAATAAAAAATATTTACCAAACATATTAAATTCCAAAACCATTTCAGACAATATCAGACCTAATATCAGAATTTTAAGGTCCCATACACTTCAAATTTTTAAACCTTACAAGCTTATTAAGCTTATAATTAAAGAAGAAAAGAAAGCGAAGTGCCCATAAATGGAGGAAGCACAGCTCAGTAAATTAACTCTAGTTAGCTGGATATCACGCAAAGTGTCCTGCACTCACAGTAAGTCCTCACTCTGTAACCAAAATACCTCGTTATGTAGGTATTTTGTTTTCAGACAAGTTGCTTCTCTTAGGCTCCGTGGTTTCTTCTAAAAAATAAGGATTCTGCTACCTTACTTCACTAGGTTGTTTAGAAGATGTAATGAGATTACATGTTTAAATGTTCAGAGAAATAGTAAAGCAATGGAATAATTTATTCTTGAACCTTATTGCTGAAACCATTTTGGAATCCCAAATAATGCTCGGTGTGTGTTTTTCTATAAGTTCTAATATTCAAATGTTACAGTTTTCAGAAAATGTTATTAAGTGCTAATTTTGGTTATTACTTGCATTCATTGTGGCTTGTAATTCAGGGCATTTTACCTAATTCATAACTTATTACTAAATTTATATACATATATAAATTTAGTGAGCTCATCACTGAGCTCATCAATCACACCAAGGGCAGAAAACTAATAGGTGTCAAAACCTGGCTTGGACAACTACCACTCCTTCTCTACCTCCTCAAACTCTGAGCCAGCAGATCTGTGCTTGGCTGCTGGATCTCCATGGTCCTCTCCAACTAACACACAAGAAGAAACCCTGCTATGATTGTTTTTCAGTTCCATGAAGGAAATGCAAGTTGACATTTTCTCATTTCCAAGACACGTACTAGCAACATGTAACATCCCCTTATTACTCAGCTCTGTTCCCATTTCAGAGATCACCGTACATCAATAGTTTCACAGTGATAATCACAATTTCAATATTGCGTGTCACCTGTTTTGGTTTTGCTCACACTGCTTCCTTGGAGCTACTCAACAAATAGTCAAATGGCCTTCCTGGGACTATGCAAAATATGGAATTCTTTCTGAATTTGCGTGCCATTCTTAGGCAGTAGCCATGCTTATCTGCTCTGTATTGATCCAATTTTAAAATATGTGCTGTTGAAATAAGTACAAAGCCCTGTTTGATACATGGATACTCATGAGTCATGGATGAAGCTTAGCTCTGTTAAATCCAACTCACTTACTTCAGATTCAGAGAATTTTATTGAATGGCTTCCTGTGAGGAGGTAGAATTTTAAAATATATTGAAAACTTGAGGAAGAGCTGCAAGTAGCCCAGGAGATTTTCATGATTATAGAGACACATTAATTGAGGGGCCAACTGCAAGCTGGTTCCCACTACTCAGTGGAAAGATAACATGGAACATTCTGCTATCTAACCAAAGCTGCTTCACAGGATATAAAAAAGCCTCAAGGTACAGATCTGATAGCAAAAGGGAAAGGGAACTCTGATCTCTTCCTGTAACATTATTTGAACATCCCTGACTATTGAGAACAATCCCAACTAATATTGGTTAAAGGAAAGACAAGCATGGCTCTCAAAGGATAACATACCATGAAGGCCTAGGCAAAGTCTAGCTAAGAGGCAGGCTCCATATAAGGTTTTTAGTGTAAGATGAGCATCAACTTGCTCAATATTTGTGTGGATAAAGCTAGGAGGCCTAGCTGCCAGAGCACGGTGCTGGGAACAATGACTGAGCACAAGTACATAAACTATTAAACACCGTAGCTTTGAACTGTATATATGAATCACCATGAAAACTGAGAGGTCTGAATCAGTGAAGGCATCCTAGTGGCAAAGATCAATCATTAACAGATTGCAGGACCGGTTACAATGGCAATAATACAGCAAGTGAGGCCATGGAAATAACAGAATGATTAGAATGCCCTTTTTTCCCCTTCTTCTGACTTGTAAAGAAAGATTGCCTTCCTTGGACTTAGGAAACCCCTTAGCTTCTTGGAAAATTCAAAGAAGGAAGGCACAGGAGAGAGCCCCGGGGACAATACAAGATTTTCTGCTAAATTGGACATTACAAGACTCAATAACTAATTAGAAAAGTCAGGCCAGTCATGGTGGCTAGCACTTTCAGAGGCCGAAGCAGGGGGATTACTTGAGCTCAGGAGTTCAAGACCAGCCAGGGAAACAGAGTGAGACCTTGCCTCTACAAAAAAAAAAAAAAAAAAAAAAAAAAAAAAAAAAGAAAAAAAGGAAAGGAAAGGAAAATAAATCAAAGATGTGGCTCTTTTTATCCCATGCATGGGGATTATACTTAGAATAAAATGAACAACATTGAGATCCCTAGGGATAAAGGTCTCAAAAATCCAGAAAAAATCTTGCACTCTACTTCTAGCTAATCTAGACTTCTGCTTGATTTCTGGCTAAAAGGTAGACTAACTCATGGCTATTTCAAACTATCTGAACCAAACTATGAACTCTCACCTAATGTATATAAGATGGAGTAGTTGCAATTATTTTAAACTTCAATTTAGTATTAACTGGATTTTTAACATAAACACTTACTTTGTCAAATGATGAGAAATAGCGTAATCTTCTGCATCTCGTCCACATATGTCTTTAGCGAAGACATCAATATTTTGCTTAAGAAGGATATTTACAATACCTGGTGAGTCATAGTGTATAGCAAGCAAGAGGGCTGACCTAAAATAACAAAGAAATAACTCCACTCAAGAACTTTAATAAAGACTTTTTTAAAAAGCTAGTTCGATACACTTTACCAATTTAATATCTGCCTGTCAGTGTAGACGTAATAACCATTTGTATGTACTAGCTTTGGTCTATAAGCATCTAGGGTGCTCAAGTGTTCATCTTTGTAAATTGTCACCAAGGCTAAAAGAAAGGGACAACAGGGAAGCCTCTTGTCCCGCTGGGGTAAGACATAATACAAGTTGTCAACTTATAGTCCTTTGATGGCCAAGAAACTGTGCTGAGGTCACTTATCTAAAGTAGGCAAAGATTTAGATGAAGATTCCCCCATTGCTTTCCTAGTTAAATCAGCTAGGGGTCAGATAAGAGTTATCTGCAGGCTGAAAACAACAACAACAACAATGACAATAATAATAATAATAATGACAATACTAGTAGTCATAAACTAAAAGTCCACACTTTAAAAATTAATAAAACTGGTCAGGTGCAGTGGCTCATGCCTGTAATACCAGCACTTTGGGAAGCCAAGGAGAGCAGATCACGAGGTTAAGAAATCGAGACCATCCTGGCCAACATGGTGAAATCCCATCTCTACTAAAAATACAAAAATTAGCTGGGCATGGTGGCGTGCACCTGTAGTCCCAGCTACTTGGGAGGCTGAGGCAGGAGAATCGCTTGAACCTGGGAGGTGGAGGATGCAGTGAGCCGAGATCACACCACCTCACTCCAGCCTGGTAACAGAGCGAGACTCTATCTCAAAAACAAAAAAATTAATAAAGCTAATACAAAACGCTTTAGCTAATAAAAGATTACAGTATCAAAAGCATCTGATTATAAATACCAAACACTCTATATTATAAGAGAAGATGAATCCTACTATATACTATTCTTTATGTTACTCAGTCCAAATATTTGCTGGTCTACCTGATTATTCATGGTGATATTTTTCATTATATGCCAATAATTATGTTAATCTTCTTATTAATATTTCTGACTTGAGTGACTGTTACCACTCTAGAATACTCAGGTTTTATTTTTAAAAAAAGAACAACTGTACTGTCTCAGCCTATCAACAGCATGTGTACTTGCTTTGGTTTTCAATAAAAGTTCCACCATTTTCTCTTTCTTGCAAATTATGACAAATAAAAGTGGGGTATTATTGTCCTATGAAACAGCAGAAAAAAATTAATAATTCACAAAATTACATATTTCTCAACTAAACTGAAAATCTTCTCTGGGATGCTTTGAACTTCAACATACAATATAGAAAGGAAGTAAATGAAAAGCAGTCCCTTCCTTCTCACTCCTCTGTGCTTTCTGATGTGCTGCGCTTTGCCTTGCAACAACCCTCCTCTGTCTCCCCGGATTAACTGTGGTCATTGCCAAAACTCACTTTAAACGTTTACTAGTCCCAAGAATCCTTGCTTTGATCACAGCACTTAGCATGGTACATTGTAATCATTTCACTGTTTCCCACTGAAACCAAGAGCTTCTTGAGGCAAGGGCTGTATCTTTTGTCTCTATAGCTCCAAAACCCGAAGACATAGTAGCAAACATTTTAAGTTTTTTACATAAATTAATGATCTAAATTATTCTCACTAAAGCAGTGTTTCTTAAACTATATTCCAAAGAATATTTGCTTTACCAGAAGTATTATACCCAAAGAGAAAGACTCCATGACCATCTGCATTTGAGAAGTATTATAAAACTGTATGTTATGTCCAATAATCAAGAAATCTCTTGAATTTTACCTAATCCCCATTTCACAGTACTATTTGTGGCAAACATTAACATTTGAGGAATTAAGAGTTTTAGGGGTACAGTTGCCAGAGCTTCCCAATGCCGGTGGAGGTTTCTTCTGGGTGGTACAAACTTGCTTGATTCACTTCTATCAATGCTGTCAGGATCCCAGATGACAATGTCAGGCACTCCTGCTCCAAATGGGTCACTATGGAAATGAGCTCTGAATTAAGAGAGATTGGCTTCAAATGCACTTATTTTCCTTATTATTAAATAGTCCATGGGTTTTTTCCCTAATACAAGAGAATAGATTTTTATCTTTACTGTTAGAAAGCTCAGTATGTTCTGTGTAAGAGAAATAGGTTTAAAAAACTTAAGAACAAATATTTAAAAAACCAAAGCTCAGTAAGAAATACTATTCTCAATTTTAATGGTAATCCCAGGACCCCAGGGCAGCTCTACCTTTTAAATCCATTTTTATTGGCTTCCACTTAAAGGGCTACTTAAAATTATTTTTTATTTTAGACAAAATATAAATCAGAAATAAAAACATAATGGCTTATCAATAAAAGTTCTCATACTGATCCATATGAATTATTTCTGGCATAATAAAAGCCAGTAAGTCACTGGCATTTCTAAGGAAGAGCACTGATGAGAAAGATGTAATGTCTGCAATATTCATAAATTATCCAACTATAACCAGGAATAACCTAAAAAGGCTTCTAGACATTCTTATGGGCAGATAATTATTTGTGGTATATATAAAGAAAAGAGTTTCAAAAACTTCTAAATTCTAAAATTCAACTCCATAACTGAGGGATTTACATACTCTATAGACTATATATTATAACAAATACATGCTGACTTAAAAACCTTGAAATCTTTATCAAAATATACTATAACATAGGAGTTGTAAACTCAGATACTTACAAGGACAAAGGAAGGTTGCCTGAGTAAAGGAAGTACTAAGGTGGGCACAGTAGCAAACTGGAGAATACATGCCTTCTCTAAAGGGGCAACCTCTGCACAGCAGACCAAACAGTGATAGAAACTCAGGGGACACCAGATTTGATTTTTTAGAATAAGCCTGAAGTCCAGATATCTACACCAGTCTTCTAAATTTTACATGCTGATTCAACTTATAGAGGAAAACAAACAAATCTGTGTACCACATTAGAATATAGCCCTTGTGTTTTTATATTCACTATTAATGTGTTACTAAATGGTTGTGTATAATCCAAGTATTTGCATGTAAAATACTTTCTTTCTCTAGTATCATATGTTTTACCAAAAAATCAGGCTCTCATATATAATAAAAATTGCCAAAAAAGACTCATAATACCTACTTAAAAAATTTTTCCAACATTTATTCATTTAAAATATATTTGTATATAATTTTCCCAGATTGTTAACCAAATAGATAATTGGTTCATAGGACTGTTAAAACTAAATTATTAAAAGAATTCATATCTGTATTTTTATTAACTCCATGGACTTCAATGTTTAAAACTGACATTTTGGGTATGCTAAAGCTCTATAAACTTAACAAACATACTGAGCTAGTTCATAATAAAACTTCAACTAAACGAATAGTTTAGGATTTGCTACTATTCTAATTGAGAAAGCCCAAATTGTAATGAACATTTGTTGACACATAATCACGTGCATGGTGACAAAGGGACATCAAATCATGAAAGAGCCAGCCTCTGCTTATTGAATGATTACCCATAAGCAAATTTCTAAAGACTCTCTGAATGTTAGTGAAGGATTCATGGTGGGAAGGAAAAGGTGCTATTCTGTAAACTGAGAGATATTGCCAGTAATATTTCCTTTCACTTCCCAGTCACAGATGTAGAGAAAGACAGATAAGTCAGGCTAATATTACTGAAAAGGAGAACTTTGAAGGAAGTAGCACCTATCGAATGCCAATTCTTCTAGAGATTTCTTACGTTTTTGAGATACAGAAATTCATATGTTGCACTTATCTATTCTGGGGTTCTTAATCAGGACTGTATCCGAAACTTGAGGGTTTTTTTTTTTTTTTTTTTTTTTTTTTTTTTTTTTTTTTTTTGCTGTTATTGTTGTTAGAGGCAAGAGTCTCATTATGTTGCTCAAGCTGAACTTAAACTCAGGCTCAAGCTGGGACTACAGGAACATGTCACTGTGCCCAGCTTCAAGAAAACATTTTTTAAAATGTTCAGGCCTTATTAGGTCTATTACATCAAAATCCTCAGGGGAAAGCCTACAATTGTAGATTTTTAACAAAATGTCATCAGGTCACTGTAATGCACAATTCTGAGAATTGGTGCAGCAATCACTTCAGTCTCATCTCTCACCCGCATGGCTAATTCCCTTTATCAGTTGGACATGTGGCCAAAAAGAGAAAAGAGTAAGAGATAGTGTCATTTATTAAAATTCCAATTAAGTTTCCTGGGTATGGGTAGAACACAGACAAATAAACTCAAAATCCCACTTGATTTTGCTATTTACAAGCTCCTTATCTCCCACCTTCCCACCAAGACATTCTAGGTTTGAGAGGAGGCTTTAGACTCTTATCTAAGTGGCTGTTTCTGCCAGAATGGGCAATAAGTCAGTTAATAATTTGTCCTACCTTCTGCTGAAGTTTTTCTCACTTCATCACCACCTATTCACTGCCAAACTGGTTCCCTCAGAGTCTTCCTGAAATTAATCTCTAGGCAAGTTTCAACTCATTCTTTTTCAAACCAAAAATTATTAGACCCAAAGCTAAAGAGCACCTTATCTCAACACATAAACTGGAAGAACAACAAACTAAAAAAAAAAAAACAAAAAAAACTCTTCTTGTCGTTTTCCCTCATTACCTAATTTCCAAGTGACCTACATATTTCTCATTGCTCTCCTTTTCCCTACCCATTTTTCCCTCTTAAGGCTTGTGCCACTGAGAGATGATACATCAGTTTTTCAGAAAATTATCAGCAGCAGCAACATGTCCATTTATTGTAAGTTGCTTTAGTTTTGTTTGAGTTTTAAGATAAAGCCTAGTTCCAGGGCATGTTTTCTTTCCTGTGTTGTTTTACACCAATTCGAGGGGAAAAAAAGGAAAGAATAACCCTGCATAGAAAAAAAAATTGAAAAGGTTTTACCTTTAACATATTCACAAATATTCAGGGAATGGTTGAGCTTCCAAATATAAAAAATTGACCCTTACCTATGTCAATGTTAAAACAAATATTTTGGAAAGAAAGTTGATTGATCTATACCTTGTCCAGTGCTTCAATATTTGCACCATGGAAAAGCAGTTTTTCTGCCAGTGAGGTGCTCTCACTATACACAGCATACTGGAGAGCAGTGTTGCGGTAGATATCCTTAAGGTTTGGATTGGTGCCATGTTCCAGCAGAATAACGGCGCAAGCCTCTTCCTGGCAATGGACAGCCTGTCCGTATTAGACCAAGAAATAGATTGTAAATTCTAAGAAATTCAAAATAAACATTCCACAGGTTTCACCAACTAGTTGTATTTAAATGAGATCAATTTATTTCAATTCTATGTATGCAAATCAAATCCATGTCATGCTAAAAGAGTTGGCTCTAATATACCTGTATCAAAAGCATTCTATTTTCTTTGTCACAGATATCAATCTGGCATTTTCTGCTAACCAGGAGAGTGACCACTTTCACATGGCCACTGGCACAGGCCAAATGTAGAGCAGTTCTACGAGAGTAAGAGGACTTTTTAGGAAACTGTAGTGCAACATCTCAAAACATACAATCATTCATGTAACTATAAAAATTGAAGAGCATGTTTTTCCTCTGCCTTCAAAACAAATACTTAATTTTTTTGAAGAAAGCACAATACTTACTAGCTCTTATTGCTCAGTGCCTTAATAAAAACAGTAGCCTATTTGAATAGAAAGAGCTCAGTCTTTGGATTCAGTTCAACTAGGGCTTGAGTCCTACTTTAAACCCTGTCTCTTACCAACTATTGCTTAGCCTTTCTGTGTCTCAACTTCCTCATTAATAAAGATGACAATAGTAGCTATCTCACAGAACCCCACCGTGATGCTTAAATGAGAAGCTATGTATTTAGAATAGTTCCTACAACAACTCAATAGTTGTAAGATTTTTGTTTTTTCAGACAATGTCTCACTTTTTTGCCCAGGCTGGATGTAACTATAGCTCACTGCAGCCTGGAACTCCTGGGCTCAAGCGATCCTCCATCCCCAGCCTCCTGAGTAGCTGGGACTACAGATGTGAATCAGCATGCCCAGCTATTTATTTAAAAATTTTTGTAGAGTAAGAATCTCACTTCGTTGCCCAGGATGGTCTCAAACTCCTGGCATCAAGCAATCCTCTCACCTCAGTCTCCCAAAGTTCTGGGATTACAGGTGTAAGCCACTGCACCCAGCCAGATATTATAATTGTTACTATTACTACTACTTAACAAAAACATTTTAATTAGGTAAAAGACACAATTATACCTACTTTGCAGGATGGCTTAAAGAGTAGGTCACATTTGAACACTTCTGACATTGGAATGTCACTTATATAACTATAATTGGTAGCATTTAAAAAATTATCTTATCTATATATAAAATAGTGGGGCATCTCACAATCCATGAGACCTTACATTAAGTAGAATATGGTGTACTAAACAGGTCTAGGGCAGTTCTAGGCATATAACTGGTACATAAATACATTTTAGTTCTTAAAGGTACTATGGGGATAGAACACTGAAATTATAATAATGCATTTTTTAAACAAATTAATTCTTTGATTTTCAAACAAATTGACAAAGGAAACTCATGATTCAAGTGAATACATATGGCTCATTTTATTCAATATTTATGCTTACAGAATATATGCAAATAAGACCTTCCAATGATTAATATTAGCATTTAAGACTGATAAACTTTTGAATGGCAGTTAAAGGTTATCTTCTACTATTTTCTAACTTCAGAAATGCTTTTGTTTGAAAGTTGGGAGACAAACTTTCAAGGAGATTAAGTCCCAATATTCCTATTTTAAATCTCTCAGCTTGTGCAGGCAGGGCAGGTAAACACGAAGTTTTTAAGGATAGAAGGGTCCTGAGAGATAGCAGAATATGTCTGCTACATAACAGGTACTCAGGTTATGTTTGATGAATAAATGGAATGAAAGAATGGATAAATACAGTTGGGAAGTTCAATATTTTTAAATAACCTCCTATAAAGCAATATTTTTGCAATAGTAATTATTCATATGTTATTTTTATTTTTAAAGAATACAATTAAAATGAAATGATTAATCTATCATTGTTTGCATAAATTGAATGAATACATAAGAAAAACGTATGTACATAATAAAATATATAGATAATAAAATCTGGAAACAGATAAAAACATTCCCTTTTTACTTCTGAAGAGGCTAAAAGTTCAAAGAAGATAACAATACACTCAATAATGATAAAAAATAGAAAGCGAGAAATTATTTTTAATATTGTAAGATTCATATTCCCCTCTTCCCAAGGATTATTCCTTTACTAATAAACTTTACTAGAAGTTTTGTACATGCTCACTGCAGCAATCACAGATAAGAAAAAGGAAAAGAACTTTACTTAAAATACAAATGCTCAGAAATTACAAATTTTATATTTTGTACATATTTTTTGCTAAAACAAGACCATAGTATGTTTGTATGTATAACTTTATTGATTTTTTTCCTCACTAGCTATAACAAAATACATCTTCACACATCAATATACTTCTGTATCTATTGCCACCTTCAATGGTCACACATTATTCTATCCTGTGGATGCAACTGAAATTTATTTATAGGATCCATTCTATGGGTTCTTTTTAAAATAAGTGCTGTGAAAAATAAAGTGCATGTATCTTTATTTCCTAAGGGTGTTTTAGTATAATGGAATTGATGGGTAAAGGGCATACATGTTTTTTAAATGTACTACTTACCACCAAATTATCTATTTGAAAAATAATCAGCAACTTAAACTTTAAGCAGGAGTATAAAACATCCTCACAAATATTGTGGATAGAAAACTGTTTCATTCCTCTTTTAATTTAAATTCTTATACCAGAAATGCGAAGGACTTTTTCCTATGTACACAAGTAACTTGCAGATCTGGAAAAAAGTACTTTGCCCAATTTTAGAGTGTTTGATGATTTGATTTGAAAGAATTTCCTGTCAAATGAAAATGTACTTTTCATCTAATGTGTATATATAACTGATATATATGACATATTATATCTGGTATATACGTATAAGTATCAGTCATATATACATACATATATATATAAAATGATATATAATAAGCAACATAGGCTGGGCGCGGTGGCTCACACCTGTAATCCCAGCACTTTGGGAGGCGGAGGAGGGAAGATCACTTGAGGTCTGGAGTTCGAGACAAGCACGGCCAACGTGGTGAAACCCCCTCTCTACTAAATATACAAAAATTAGCCAGGCACGCTGGCACCTGCCTGTAATCCCAGCTACTTGGGAGGCTGAGGTAGGAGAATTGCTTGAACCCAGCAGGCAGAGGTTGCAGTGAGCCAAGATTGTGCCATTGGACACCAGCCTGGGCAAAGAAGCGAGACTCCGACTCAAAAAAAAAAAAAAAAAAAAAAGAATGTAATGAATTCCCTATAAAATAAAAACATACTTTTCATCTGAAAAAATATATATATAGTATAGTAAATATTTTTCAAGTAAGCTCTCTTATCTGAGAACTTTTCGCCTACTACGGTATTTTTGATAGGGGAATGAGTTCTCTCATTAGGCACCTCCTATAATGTATATAAACCATGTTTTAAACGTGTACGTTAAAAATAACAACACTGTGTATGCTTAACTTTGTGAGTTAAATCACTCAAATTCTCCAACTGCTCCAGCCAGGGAATTATGAGGGATGGAAAACAGCTGAGAGTCCTTTTGGCTCCGCCGCTCCGAGGGTGCCCGGTGCCCTGCAAGGCCCCATCCCAGGGGCTGCGGGGAAGCCGGGCCTGGGGACCCCATCCCATCACGGGCTGAGCCCCCGCTACCTGTGCTGCTTGTCCAGGGCGTCCAGGTCTCCGCTCCTGCGCGCCAGGCAGCGCTCCACCCCCGCGGCGTCGCCCTTGACAGCTGCCCTGTGGATCTTCTGCAGTTCGGAGTCCCGGATTCGGTATCCGGAACCCGTGTAGACATGTTCTATAGAGCCCTGGGCCGTCTGGCCCCTGCGGCTCCCGAAGGCGAATAACTTCATAGTGGTGACTTCTCAGACCCCCAACCTCTGGCTCTTGAGCGGGGGCAGCTCCCTGTCACCTTTTCACCAACCCCCTCCCCCGACCCCGGCCGACCCAGCCCCAAATCCCCTATCCAACCCCAAATCCCTGATCCAACCCCAAATCCGCGATTCAACCCCCAATCCGCGATCCCAAATCTATGATCTACTCCACAATCCGCGATCCAGCCCGGTCCACCACAGCCTTCAGCAGCGACACTCGCAGCCTCCGACCTCTCAGACCGAGTGAGACTTGAAAAGCCGTTGGGCGCGCGCCTGCACGGCGGTTGCTGCCCGGCTCCCGGAAGCCGCTCCCTGGAGGCGCGCGCCGGCAGGTGGGGCTGCAGCTCTGGGCGGGCGCAAATGGGCTCGCAGGTCCTCTTGGGATCGCCCGGGCGGCCCCAGGATCTCAGGAGCGCCGCCAGCCCGGCCTGAGAAGGAGAGCCTGTCTGGCCTTGCAGCCCACCCCGCTCCTCCTCGGAAGGGAGATAGGGTGCTGGCAAGAGCACTCCGCGGCCACCTGGGTGGCTTCGCGGATGGCCCGGCTTCACGCTGAGGCTCTGGCCCTGGAGTCTGTGTGGCTAGTATCAGGTAGCTGGAGAAGCATGGAGGCAGAGTCAGGGGCTGCTCCTTCCCCCACTCGCCCTCACTGCTGCCAGTGCCCCACGCACAGTTTGCAGCTGCAGATCTGGCACTGGCGCTGGATGGCGGAGCTTCCCTTAGATGGCCTCAGGGTCGCAGAGCGCACAGCCCACCTGGGCTCAAGGTCCGCTCCTCTTGTACATCTCTCTGGATCCTGGGCCCTGGCACTGGGCACTCTGTATCCACACGGATGAAACTGAGCGGCTGCTGGCGGGGCCCGTCGCCTGATTTTGCCGCCTGGGGGTCTGGCCTCAGTATCCGCGCTACTGGGGGGCGGGCCTGGTCTGGGGTGTCCAGTCACTTGCTGCCGGTGCACCACATCTAGACTGCAGCTGCAGCTCCGATGCCGGCCTGAGCTGGCGGGCCTGGTACCTGATGTCCTCAGGGTCAAGTGCATCGCCCGCCCACTTGAGGGGTTGCAATGACTTGGCCTTCCAAGAACGCAGGGGCCGCCGGGGCTGGCTCTTCATGGTAACCGGGATGGTATCGAGCAGCAGGTTTTCACCCTGGTGCCGCTGCTGTGCGGACTGCCTGACTTGGGCGCCCAGGCACCGGCCTCAGGATCCGCGTGGCAGGTGTGTGTGCGGGTAGGGTGAGTGGCACGGAGGGTCAGGGGTTGCTCCGTCATCTCTGCCCGTGTGCAACTTGCAGTTTTGCAGTTTTCTGCAGCAGCTGAGGCGCTGGCGTGGGAAGGCGGAGCTCCCCTGGATGGCGTCAGGTCAGGTTTGCAGGCACAGAGCACAGCCCACCAGGCCTGAGGGTCCTCTCAGGGGCCATGGTGGTTGAGTTCTCCGTGGAAACTGGGATGGGGTGAACGGCCAGTTCCCGTCCTTTGGCCGCCTGGCCAACTGCCAGACTTAGCCGCTGCCGCCCAGGCATCTGCCTCTAGGGTTGCCGCTATTTGGATAGAAGTGGGGGTCGGGGTGGGGCATGGAGCGTCACCGGTTGCCAGGCCAGCACTGCCTTTGCAACATATTCAGATGGCGGCGGGCAGCTCGGGCACCAGCATGGGCTGGCGGGGCTCCCCTGGACAGCCCTCAGGTCGCTCACAGCATTGTCCCAGGACTTCCTCCGGCTGTGTCAGGTGGGCAAGGTAGGGGGGAGCTTCCAAGGCTTCTATCCCAACTCTACCTATTTCTAGCTATTTTCTCTTGAGTTATTTTGCCTCTATCTCAGTTTTATTTGCAAAAATAGTATATGCAAAATACATCGAGTGAATGTACATCAGGCATATAGAAGATCTGGCAGAAACACTTTTTCTCATGCCCATTTCCAGTCACTATTTGAACACAGAGGCTTCCATGGTTTTGATTCTTTCCACAAAAGGTTAGTTTTGTCTGTTTTCACCATTTACGTAAGTGAAACTATAAATTATATAATTTTTATGTTCATTCACTAAACATGTTTGTGACACTTATCATGTTGCTCCTATTGATTATTCATTAATTTTATTTTATAATACTCAATTTTATGACTATACCACAGGTTTGAGGCCTTTGCTTGTTTTGTTTTTAATCCATTCCACTATTGATAGACACAAAATCAGTTTCTGATTTGAGGCTATCATGAATAAACCTGCTACGAACAAATCAGATATACACGTTTTTCTGTAATAATATTTTCACATTTCTTGAGTTTAAGTACATAACAGTGGATTTTCTGGGTTATAAAATAAGTATATATTTGGCATTGTATGAAATGGGGAGACATTTTCCTAAGTGGTTGTGCCATCTTAAACTACAATGAAAATGTTTGAGAGAATCAGTTCCACTTTCTAACCAACACTTGATGCTGTCAGTTGTTTTAGTGTTATCCATTCTTATGGGATATAACTGCTGAGTAGCTGTCTGCCTTCCCAATAACACAGAAAATTGAGGGCTCAGAGGACAGTTTTATTTTCATATTTGACATCTTCTATTATTTTTTATAGAAGGGTGATTTGGGTAGTAAAATTGTCTTTCAACTTTCTAGGTTGTCTCTGAATCTTACTGGGGTTCCTTGTCCTAAACCACATTCAGAAATTTTCACGACCAACTTCTTTTTATCTTTGTCATACCAGGCCAATGAGGGACTGCATTCCTGAGACTTTTTAAGTACTTTTTGTGTGTATGATGGTCTAATAATCATAGCCTTAAAACTTTCTGGCTGGGCATGGTGGCTCATGGCTGTAATCCCAGCACTTCGAGAGGCCGAGGCGGGTGGATCACCTGAGGTCGGGAGTTCGAGACCAGCCTGACCAACATGGAGAAACCCCAACTCTACTAAAAATAAAAATAAAAAATAGCTGGGCATGATGGCACATGCCTGTAATCCCAGCTACTTGGGAGGCAGGAGCTACTTGGGCTGAGGCAGGAGAATCGCTTGAACCCACGAAGTGGGGGTTGTAATCAGCCGAGATCACACCATTGCACTCCAGCCTGGGCAACAACAGTGAAATTCCGTCTCAAAAAAAAAAAAAAAAAAAAAAAAGAATCTCAGACTTCTGGGAGACACTGAATTTGTGAATGTGTACAGCATGTCACAATAACTTTTTTTTTTTTTTTGAGACCAAGTCTCACTCTGCTGTCCAAGCTGGAGTGCAGTGGCCCATCTCAGCTCACTGCAACTTCTGTCTCCTAGATACAAGCCACTCTCCTGTCTTGGCCTCCCGAGTAGCTGGGATTACAGGTGCTGCAACCACGCCTGGCTAATTTTTGTATTTTTAGTAGAGACAGAGTTTCACATATTGGCCAGGCTGGTCTCGAACTCTTCACCTCAGATGATCCACCTGCCTCAGCCAATGGGTGGATTGTTAACTCAAAATGCGCACCGTTGAATACTGAGGAAAATGTATAGCCATCAACACCAACAGCTGAGATGAGAGTTGAGATACCAGAAATGCCCCAGCATGTAACTCCTCTTTTAATTCACACACACACACACACACACACACACACACACACACACACACGTACACTCATGGTAACCAGTTCAGGATGGACACAGAAACAGTCACAGTCTTTTTTGGGAACACACTCCCCTGTGACACTTAGATCCTAATGCTGACTCCAATTCCCTCCCGGGACCTCCCCTCTCCTTGCAGCATGCTGGGCTTTCCCTTAGAAAACCCCATGTCATTTCATTCAATGGAACATCAATCAGCTTCACCCACAGTGTCTGCATGTCTCTGTCCATAGCAAATGTTTTTATTACTTTAAAATATAGATTTTTACCTTAACTAGCCAAGACTTAGGACCCTTTTTCCAAGCTCTTTTAGATGAAGTAATAAATGCAAATATTAGAGATGTGTATATGTGTATAAATATATGGAGAAAAGATGTTGCCTAGTTGTACAAATTAGCTTTAACAAAACTCCTGATTTAAATTATTTAATTGTGAGAAGGGCGATTCTAACTCAACACACCAATGAAATTAAAGCCTTATCCCTCTGCTCCGCCAAAATATACCATTTATAGCCTGCGTGTGTGTGTACACACACGTGTGCACTCATCCCCATCTGACCGTATCAAATTATTATTTAAACTAGATATTTTTACTTTGTTGCATAGTAGTAGTGGTTTCTGGAATGAAAAAAAAAAAACAAAAACAGGAGAATAAAACTGTTTAAATGTATCTCCAGGTGAACGCTGTGGCCACTGCACCGACCCAGCCGATGATGGCGCCCAGTACCTGCGTCTCAGGAAGAGGTTCTGGCGGGGCCTCCACCTGAGGCCGCGCCCCTGGGACCTGTCCCGCATCCACGTGAACGCGGAGCGCAGCATTCACCATCCGCTCCCTGAAACAGCGGTCCCCGAGGTGCTCCACAGGCAGGGCCGAGCTGGGCGAGGGGGAGCCCAGGCCCTGCACGGGCCGCCCTGAGCGGCGGGGACGCAAGAAGAGCTCGCCGGCTCCACCAGCCCCTACCCCAGACGCGGGACCTGGGACCAGAGAGGACCTGGAGCCCCCGCCCCACGGCTGCCAGGAGGCTGACAGGGGCAGCTCCTGGGGGGCTACCGCCCCGAGGCCGTTCCGCCAGAAATTGAGCCACTTGGGAAGGGGCAGCGCCCCACCCCTGAAGAGGAACCTGTGTCCTGGAGGCAGCAGCCTGGGAGCTACTCCTCTGAGGACAGGGCGGAGGCGAGTGACTCTGGTGGCGCAGCGCAGGCTTTCCCGTCCGTGGAGGAGGAGAGCTGCGGGGCTGGGTGAGCTGGACCAGGGAGCACGGCTGGCTGCTCTCGGCCTCCGATGGGGAGTGGACAGCTTAGGAGGTTGCCCCCGTGCCAGCCGGTCTGCTGGCCACGCTGAGCTTCATCACCGCCTCACCTGCCTGCGCAGGCGCCTAGCACCGCAGGCTGGAGCTTCTGGCCATGCTGGTCAACTTCCCCAATGAGCCTCCGCTTGCCTGGGAACAGCAAGGCCAGGGCTACACCGCCCTGAACTTGGCAGCCATGTACCTTGGAGATGGTGAAGCTGCTAGTGGGGACCTAGGACGCCGATGTGGACATCAGGGACTACATTGGGAAAAGGGCCTCCCAGTATGTGAGTCAGAGCATCACAGAAGAGATCGAGACCCTGGTGGGAGTCCTGGACAAGGACGACGGGGAGAGCACCGCCAGCAGCGGGGATGGGTACTGGAAGATTTAAAAGGTGCCCCCTCCATTTCATCACCTACAAACTCTCACAAGTCCTGGAAGATCGGGGGACCCTCTTCACCATCACCACTTGGCTGAAGGTGGTTCAGAGGTGAAGCCAAGGATTCCAGGGCACACAGCCTCGGGCAGGACTAATGGACTTAAAAAACACAGGCTCAACAAAATCCACTTCACAACCCAGATGGTTCACATCACACCCTCTTTCAGGGACCCAGAGCAGCCACTGGAAGAGAAGGAGTAGGAACGCTCTCTTAAAGGCCACTTATCCTATTCCTTCAAATTAAGACCAAAGTCCAATGTATTTAGGTAAAAATAATTTCTTTTAGAAAATGCTAAGGTTTGTCTTCTGAAATTTAATAACAGAAACAAAAAAAGAACACTAGATGTAAGGAAGTGGGACCAGAAAAGACAAACTAAACTATCCTTACTAGGTTGGAATGGATGGGGTGGAGTTCCCATCAGGCTAGCATTCTGGGGAAAGTGTTTTTTTTTTTTTTTTTTTTGGTGGGGGGGCACGGAGTCTCGCTCTGTCGCCCAGGCTGGAATGGCCTTTGACATGTCAATGTTTTATTGTAAATCGTGACAGACTATCTACATAGAATACTCATGATTTACAATTTGAGATTGTCAACCCAGCCAGTAACCTATGTAGCACTGAATTCAAATACCAGAAAAAGGACCCAGATTCCCTCACCACCTAGCAGAGCTCAAGTGAGCTACACAGCCTGGTAGGAAATGGGGAGTAATTAAAAGGTTGTAAGCAGGTACTACTATAGTCAGATTAGTTTTTGACAGGTTATTCTAAAAGCACTGAGAAAAGAAAACTGTTGTAGTATTCCAGATAAGATCATATGGTCTGTAAAAGGACAGTGTCAAGGATATAGAAAAGAACAATCAAGGAATTTCAAAGGGTAAACTGGATGTGATTATATAGTACCACATCAAATGAACATCAGGCTCAAAGAAGGCACGGGGGAGCAGGAGGCTGCTTTCCCCAGGTACTCTCTTTCCCAGGCTTGCCCAGTAGTCCTGGCAACTGACATATATATATATATATATATATATATATATATATATATATATATGGAAACCATCATTCTGAGCAAACTATTGCAATGACAAAACCAAACACCACATGTTCTCACTCATAGGTGGAAATTGAACAACGAGAACACTTGGACACAGGATGGGGAACATCACACACCGGGGCCTGTCATGGGGTGGGGGGAGGTGGGAGGGATAGCATTAGGAGATATACCTAATGTAAATGATGAGTTAATGGGTGCAGCACACCAACATGACACAGGTATACATATGTAACAAACCTGCACATTGTACACATGTATGCTAGAACTTAAAGTATAATAAAAATAAAAAATAAAGTCTTCCTCAAGTTTACCATCAAAAAGTGCTACACATGATTTGCAAGTATTTTCTTCCATCTTGTGAGTTGTCTTTTCACTTTCTTGATGGTGTCCTCTGAAGTGCAAAAATGTTTAATTTTGATGAAGTCCAATTCATCAATTTTTATTCTTGTTGCTGGTCTCATATTTAAGAAAACTGCCAAATTCAAGGTCATGACAATTTACTCCTATGTTTGCTTCTCAGGATTTTATAGTTTTAGTCCTTATGTTTATGTGGATTAGCTCAAAATGGGTCCATTTGATCCATTGTTTTTGCATCCACAGTTTTTGTATATGGTGTTGGGTAAAGGTACTATTTCAGGTTTTGCATATGTTTACATATCTAGTAGTCCCTGTGCCAGTTTTCAAACATCTTTCCCCACTGAATAATCTTGGCACCCTTGTCAAAAATCAGTGTTTATGTATGTATGGGTTCATATCTGACTCTCAATTCTATCCCACTCGTCTATACATCTATACTTCTGCCAGTATTATATTGTCCTTATTACCATTGTCTTGTAGTAAGTTTTAAAGTCGGTAAGTATGAGTTCTCCTACTTTGTTTCTCATTTTCAAAAGATTATTTTGGCTATTCTTAGTCCTTTGCAATTCCATATGAATTTGAGAGTCAGCTTGTCGATTTTACAGAGAACTCATCTGGGATTCTGACAGGAATGAAGTTAAATCTGTAGACGAGTTTAGGGAGGACTGCCATCTTAACAATGTTAAGCCTTCGGTCCATGATCATGGGATACTTTTACATTTATTTCGATCTTCTTTCATTTCTTTCAACTATGTTTTATGGTTTTCAGAGTACAAGTTTTACACTTCTTAAATTTATTAGTATTTTATTCTTGTTGATGCTATGATAAATGAAGTTGCTTTCTTAATTTCATTTTCTGATTGCTCATTGTGAGTATGTAGTACTCAGTTAAAGTGTGTCAAATACTATTGATTTTTGTATATTGATCTTGTATCCTGCAACCCTGAAGAACACAAGGGATTTGTGTCTGGCATACATAAGGAACAATTACAATTCAGTAATAAAAAAACAAAACAACCCAATTAGAGATGGATAATTCAAGAATGGATTAAAAAAACTGCAATACATGCAAACAAATGGAATATTATTCAGCAATTTAAAAAGTGAGCTATCAAGCCATGAAAAAACACAGAAGAACCCTAAATGTATACTGCTGGGTGAAAGAAGCCAGTCTGAAAAGGATACATACTACATGATATTATATGACATTCAGGGAGAGGCAAAATTAGAGAGTAAAAAGATCAGTAATGACCGGGGGTTTAGAAGGAAGAGGAGGGGGAGGAATGACTCAGTGGAGCACAGGAGATTTTTAGGGCAATGAAACTGTTCTACATAATGTCCCTGTATGACAGCTTTGAAGAGAGCAGTGGTTCTCTCAGCACGCAGCTGGAGATCTGAGAATGTGCAGACTGCCTCCTCAAGTGGGCCCCTGACCCCTGACCCGTGAGCAGCCTAACTGGGAGGCACCCCCCAGCAGGGGCACACCGACACCTCACATGGCAGGGTATTCCAACAGACCTGCAGCTGAGGGTCCTGTCTGTTAGAAGGAAAATTAACAAACAGAAAGGACATTCACACCAAAAACCCATCTGTACATCACCATCATCAAAGACCAAAAGTAGATAAAACCACAAAGATGGGGAAAAAACAGAACAGAAAAACTGGAAACTCTAAAAGAAGAGCGCCTCTCCTTCTCCAAAGGAATTCAGTTCCTCACCAGCAATGGAACAAAGCTGGATGGAGAATGACTTTGACGAGCTGAGAGAAGAAGGCTTCAGACGATCAAATTACTCTGAGCTAAGGGAGGACATTCAAACCAAAGGCAAAGAAGTTGAAAGGCTTGAGAACTATGTGAAGAATGCAGAAGCCTCAGGAGCCGATGCGATCAACTGGAAAAAAGAGTATCAGCAATGGAAGATGAAATGAATGAAATGAAGCAAGAAGGGAAGTTTAGAGAAAAAAGAATAAAAAGAAATGAGCAAAGCCTCCAAGAAATATGGGACTATGTGAAAAGACCAAATCTACGTCTGATTGGTGTAGATGGGCAAGTGATGGGCAGAATGGAACCAAGTTGGAAAACACGCTGCAGGATATTATCCAGGAGAACTTCCCCAATCTAGCAAGGCAGGCCAACATTCAGATTCAGGAAATACAGAGAACGCCACAAAGATACTCCTCGAGAAGAGCAACTCCAAGACACATAATTGTCAGATTCACCAAAGTTGAAATGAAGGAAAAAGCGTTAAGGGCAGCCAGAGAGAAAGGTCGGGTTACCCTCAAAGGGAAGCCCATCAGACTAACAGCGGATCTCTTGGCAGAAACCCTACAAGCCAGAAGAGAGTGGGGGCCAATATTCAACATTCTTAAAGAAAAGAATTTTCAACCCAGAATTTCATATCCAGCCAAACTAAGCTTCATAAGTGAAGGAGAAATAAAATCCTTTACAGACAAGCAAATGCTGACAGATTTTGTCACCACCAGGCCTGCCCTAAAAGAGCTCCTGAAGGAAGTGCTAAATATGGAAAGCAACAACCAGTACCAGCCGCTGCAAAATCAAGCCAAAATGTAAAGACCATCCAGACTAGGAAGAAACTGCATCAACTAACGAGCAAAATAACAAGCTAACATCATAATGACAGGATTAAATTCACACATAACAATATTAACTTTAAATGTAAATGGACTAAATGCTCCAATTAAAAGACACAGACTGGCAAATTGGATAAAGAGTCAAGACCCATCAGTGTGCTGTATTCAGGAAACCCAACTCACGTGCAGAGACACACATAGGCTCAAAATAAAAGGATGGAGGAAGATCTACCAAGCAAATGGAAAACAAAAAAAGGCAGGGGTTGCAATCCTAGTCTCTGATAAAACAGACTTTAAACTAACAAAGATCAAAAGAGACAAAGAAGGCCATTACATAATGGTAAAGGGATCAATTCAACAAGAAGAGCTAACTATCCTAAATATATATGCACCCAATACAGGAGCACCCAGATTCATAAAGCAAGGCCTGAGTGACCTACAAAGAGACTTAGACTCCCATACATTAATAACGGGAGACTTTAACACCCCACTGTCAATGTTAGACAGATCAACAAGACAGAAAGTCAACAAGGATACCCAGGAATTGAACTCAGCTCTGCACCAAGCAGACCTAATAGACATCTACAGAACTCTCCACCCCAAATCAACAGAATATACATTTTTTTCAGCACCACACCACACCTATTCCAAAACTGACCACATATGGAAGTAAACCTCTCCTCAGCAAATGTAAAAGAACAGAAATTATAACAAACTATCTCTCAGACCACAGTGCAATCAAACTAGAACTCAGGATTAAGAATCTCACTCAAAACCGCTCAACTACATGGAAACTGAACAACCTGCTCTTGAATGACTACTGGGTACATAACGAAATGAATGCAGAAATAAAGATGTTCTTTGAAACCAACGAGAACAAAGACACAAAATACCCGAATCTCTGGGACGCATTCAAAGCAGTGTGTAGAGGGAAATTTATAGCACTAAATGCCCACAAGAGAAAGCAGGAAAGATCCAAAATGGACACCCTGACATCACAATTAAAAGAACTAGAAAAGCAAGAGCAAACACATTCAAAAGCTAGCAGAAGGCAAGAAATAACTAAAATCAGAGCAGAACTGAAGGAAATAGAGACACAAAAAACCCTTCAAAAAATTAATGAATCCAGGAGCTGGTTTTTTGAAAGGATCAACAAAATTGATAGACCACTAGCAAGACTAATAAAGAAAAAAAGAGAGAAGAATCAAATAGATGCAATAAAAAATGATAAAGGGGATATCACCACTGATCCCACAGAAATACAAACTACCATCAGAGAATACTACAAACGCCTCTAGGCAAGTAAACTAGAAAATCTAGAAGAAATGGATAAATTCCTCGACACATACACTCTCCCAAGACTAAACCAGGAAGAAGTTGAATCTCTGAATAGACCAATAACAGGATCTGAAATTGTGGCAATAATCAATAGCTTACCAACCAAAAAGAGTCCAGGACCAGATGGATTCACAGACGAATTCTACCAGAGGTACAAGGAGGAACTGGTACCATTCCTTCTGAAACTATTCCAATCAATAGAAAAAGAGGGAATCCTCCCTAACTCATTTTATGAAGCCAGCATCATTCTGATACCAAAGCCAGGCAGAGACACAACAAAAAAAGAGAATTTTAGACCAATATCCTTGATGAACATTGATGCAAAAATGCTCAATAAAATACTGGCAAAACGAATCCAGCAGCACATCAAAAAGCTTATCCACCATGATCAAGTGGGCTTCATCCCTGGGATGCAAGGCTGGTTCAATATACGCAAATCAATAAATGTAATCCAGCATATAAACAGAGCCAAAGACAAAAACCACATGAGTATCTCAATAGATGCAGAAAAAGCCATTGACAAAATTCAACAATGCTTCATGCTAAAAACTCTCAATAAATTAGGTATTGATGGGACATATTTCAAAATAATAAGAGCTATCTATGACAAACCCACAGCCAATATCATACTGAATGGGCAAAAACTGGAAGCATTCCCTTTGAAAACTGGCACAAGACAGGGATGCCCTCTCTCACCACTCCTATTCAACATGGTGTTGGAAGTTCTGATACAAAATCAATGTACAAAAATCACAAGCATTCTTATACACCAACAACAGACAAACAGAGAGCCAAATCATGAGTGAACTGCCATTCACAATTGCTTCAAAGAGAATAAAATACCTAGGAATCCAACTTACAAGGGATGTGAAGGACCTCTTCAAGGAGAACTACAAACCACTGCTCAATGAAATAAAAGAGGATACAAACAAATGGAAGAACATTCCATGCTCATGGGTAGGAAGAATCAATATCGTGAAAATGGCCATACTGCCCAAGGTAATTTACAGATTCAATGCCATCCCCATCAAGCTACCAATGACTATGAAGAAATTTTAAATATCATCAAGCATGTTGAGAGGTGCTAGCGAGGGCATGGAGCAAGGAATCAAATTCCATAGGTGATTGTTTTCTCTATTTTTGTATAAAAATGTCCTTGCCCCAATTAAAGCCTCCACCAAGTATAAAAAGAAAGCGTTTGGTGATATTAGCAAGCAACAGTTTCCCAAATCTACCTTGCCCACCTCTTTGGCCTAAACTCTGCAGGTAATTTATTCAAAAAAGAGAAGTGTCCTTTGGGTAACAGATGTATCACTTCCTACTCTCTTAAACCAAACTCTGATGCTGCATCTTAGATAAAAGCCCTCAAATCTGGCCTCCTGAAGTCATGCTGTCATTTAACTTGGCTGCAGGCCCCTGATACTCTCCTGCAGGGAGAGAGTCTGCTCTTTGCCCCAGCCTTTACCCCATTCCTACTTTCTTTCACTCAGTCCCCCTCCACTCCCAGCACACCTCTGGCGGTATTTTATTATTAGTAGTAAGCTTTATTTTTATCAAAAAGGGGGTTGGGGGTATTTTTGAGCTTATGTTGCAGAATACTTTATATAACCCTAAAATATACATTCTGTTCATTAGATTTCTAGCTGCCCCAACTACATAAGCTGAGATGCTTGGTAGAAGCAATGGAACAAATTTCTCTAGTTTTACAAATATAACATTTGACTAATTTAGAACAAAAATTAATTATTTTCAAAATATTTAACTTATTTTAGCTTTTTAGAAAAAAAAAACTGTCTGAGTAAAACAGGGTACTTCCTATTTCATTTAAGGAGAAAGCCAAGCTGATAATGCCATCATACTGCCTAGCTTTCTCATGCATATGACACTGATTTGACTTAGAAAGAAAAAAGTTTTAATACTCTCTTCTACTTCCCACTAGCAGGAAATTCCATTCTTGCCTTTCCTTTTCACCATTTCATCTACAATCACCTAGAAAAATGATGTCTGGTGCATATTAGGCCCTTAATAAAGGAATAAAGAAATGTGTGAAAGGAATTTCTTGAATAACTATTTTAAAACTTTTTGAACAAGAAGACTGTTATTAAGAGTGTTCCCGTGAGCAGGCAACAAACAAAGACAAAAGCTATTATTCAGAGATAAAAATGTCCAAAACATGGTTAGGATATAACTCTCTATCAGTGCATGACAGGTATCTATCAAGAAGTCTCAGAAAAAATACCAAGAAACATCACAACCAAATGCATAAATCTTGAATGAAATCTGTCTCTAAACAAACAAATACCAGCTATAAAGATATTCTTGGTAGCACTTTGAGGGGCCAAGGTGAGCAGATTGCCTGAGCTCAGGAGTTCCAGACCACCCTGGGCCCAGTCTTTACTAAAATACAAAAAATTAGCCAGGCATGGTGACAGGTGGGCCTGTCGTCCCAGCTACTCAGGAGGCTGAAGAAGGAGAATCGCTTGAACCCGGGAGGCAGAGGTTGCAGTGAGCCGAGATCGCAACACTGCACTCCAGCCTGGGTGACAAAGTTGAGACTCTGTCTCAAAAAAAAAAAAAAAAAAAAAATTCTCCAGACACTTAGGGAAATTTAAGTATTAACTGCATATTAGGTGGCATTATGGTTTTATTTTTTTCTTTTTTGAGACAGAGTCTTGCTCTGTCTCCCACGCTGGAGTACAGTGGCTCAATCTTGGCACACTGCAAGCTCCACCTTCCAGGTTCACACCATTCTCCTGCCTCAGCCTCCCAAGTAGCTGGGACTACAGGTGCCCACCACCACGCCTGTCTGATTTTTTTATTTTTGTATTTTTAGTGGAGACGGTGTTTCACCGTGCTAGCCAGCATGGTTTCGACCTCCTGACCTTGTGATCCACCCACTTCAGCCTCCCAAAGTGCTGGGATTACAGGTGTGATCCACTGCACCCAGCCAGGTGATATTATGGATTCTTAGGTTTAATAATGGTATTGATGTTATGGAGAAAAATGTCCTTATTCTTAGGAGATAAATGCTTATATATTTAGGAGTGTCACAAAATCTGCACCATACTCTCAAATGATTTGGCAAAAAACTGTGTGTGTGTGTGTGTGTGTGTGTGTAGAAAGAAAAATCAAGCAAATATGGCAAAACATTAATGATTATTCAATCTAGGTGCTCACTATTCTGTTCTGTATGTTAGAATTTTTTTCAAAACAAAAAGCTGGGGAGAAGGAGAAAAAATTCTAAGAGTCAAAGAAACTGTGTAATCCCCATTTTTATCACTTTTTTTGTGACCAAGTGATTTCACTCACCATTTTATTCATCAGTTCCCTATCTACACACTTAGAGCAAATGAGATAACATAGAATGCTTTGCAAAGTAAAAAGCATGATACAGAATACATAATGTCATCGTAACCAACAACCTCTGAAGTTTAATCGCATCCAGACATCTGGCTTCTTTTTCCCTACCTTCTTATGGTTGTAGATTTCACCATTGTAACAGAGCCACATATATGGATATGTCTTCACTTAAATTGTCTGCATTCCAAACAGCAGGTCAACTACCACCAATGGGTGAAATCCAAAGCAGCAGCTGGTGTATCCATTGACATTCTCAAAACAGGATGCATCTGGACCCCTGTGTGCAATCTTCATAGCACACAGACACTAAACAGAAAGGCAGTCATTGCTGCCAAACAGGACCCAAATGCCACACACAGTGCAATGAAGCTATAAGCTCCCTATGGAGAGAAAAGTAGACAAATCAAAAATATTCAATATCCAATCCAAGTCCACGTTAAATCTTGATTCCAGAAACGTGCATAAACCACTTCAAAGACTAAAATTTAAACCATCTTTTCTATAGCGATTTCCCATTTGGTTGGCAGGCATACAGGAGTAGAGAATGATTTAATTTACTTACAAATATTCAGAAAAGATAGTGACCTCTACATTCAACCAGCTACAGCAGCTTAGCACCCAGCCAAAGCCTGCATCTCTCCCACCTTAAGATTTAGTGGTTGGCTAGAGTTAGCAGCATCCAGGCCACATATATCTCTGCATTCTAAGTTTGCTTCCAAGATAAAGATACAAATGCAGGCTGGCTCCAACCTAGCCAGAGATCCCAACCCCACTCTCTGCATCCCAAAATCCCTCAAAGACCCAAGAGACTTTCCAGATTTCTACAGTCTCCTCTCAGGTTCCCTTGACAGTTAAATGTCCACTCTTTACCTCAACTAGCTGCAGGTAGAATATAATGGGTACAACAGAAAATCACTGTAAGTGTAATATGAAGATACACAGCCCTTTTAAGCATTTCATTATATTACATCTAGCTTACTTCTAAGTGATTTATTCAGATGTGACTGAAGAAAGTCTAAAGGGAAAAAAAGCAATTTAATTTGATAAATTAACTTATCAATTATAGCCAAATTATTTGGCTATAAAAAATTAAACATTTTAAGCTGACAGAAGATGCAAACATTTTAAGTTGACAGAAGATATAAAATGTTCACTATCAAAATGTCGCAACTGATAAAAATGTTCTCAAATACTTCTGTCTCAAAGTTGCATTGTTCATTAAGGAAGCAAAATAAGTGGGACATACACAGCAACAACATCCCTCAAAAAACAACTTGGCTCATTCCTATAAGCCAGGCAGCAAATACATCATCCTTACATATGCTAATTACCTTCCAATTTCAAATTCTCAACTGTGAAATAAAGGGCCATTTTATTTGGCTGCTGCCAGTTCAAAATGACTGTTTTTATTAAAACATCTCCAACTTGAAAAATATTTGGTATTTTCTAAAAAACTGCAAATTGCAGCAAATGGCCAGACAATTTGGAATAAACACCCTACAGAAAAAATATATATTCAAGTTTCATAAGTCACTTTGAGCAATCCTTTGAGGATATTTCATTTATATCTAAATGAACCACAAGTTTAGCTGGCTTTTCCGGAAAACCAGAAGCAAATAAAGTATGATTATAATGAAAACCATCTCAAGCAATTTGGAAATGAAGTACCACATGTCCTATGCTGTCCCTTCCATACACTTGACAAAACAGCCTATAACAAATTGTTTACTTTGAGATTTAGCAGGAAAATTCCATGAGATTTAAATGAGATGACTACTAATAAGCCATCTACCTTTGACTCTATTCCAATTAAAAATGGGTTAGGAAAGTGCTTTGAAAATCAAGTGTGTTCATCAGGGAATCATTTACCTAAGTCTTCTTAACACTGCTTAGTGAATATTAAGCCTGATATAGTATATACACTCTAACCACTAAATTGAAGGGGAAAGAGGGAGAACAAAGAGGCATGTAAAGTACACTTACTTTTTCTAGTAGGAAAAAGCCAATTAAAACTATCACCTATTGGTTTTATTGGAATCAGTCTTACAGGAGGTCAAACTTCCTACTCTCGCTACCTATTCTCAATATTTTTCTTATTTCTTCCTAAACTTCTAGAGCCGTGCTGTCCAATAAATATGTGAGCCATATATGTAATTTTAAATGTACTAGTAAACCCCATTAAAAGAAAAGGTGAAATTAATTTTAAATATACTTAACTCAGTATGTCCCAAATAGTAATCATAGTAATAATTTTAACATGCAATCAATATAAAAAATTATCAAGCAGATATTCTACGCTGTTCTTCCCACTCCAATGACAAAATCCAGTATATTTAACAAAACACATCTCAATTAGGACTAGCCAGGATTTCAAGTGCTCAACAGTTACAAGTGGCTAGCGCCTACTGAATTGGACACTGCAGTTTCAGTGCATTGAATTTCTATCCCACTTAGCGCTAATTAAAACTTCACCCTCTCACCTGACAATTATGTTAAGATCTCAGTAAGTAACCAACTACAGGCAGTTTCAAGCCCTACTTTACCGCTAATTACTCTTACAGCAATGCAATGAATCATGATTTAAAATTAAAAAAAAAAAAAACTGCTGTTAAATTATTAGTCAAGTGCCCAGGGCAATGGACAGTAAAGAAATAATGTAGGCCATGGGCCGAGATGACAAAACGGTCCTTTTATTTATTTCAAGCTATAACAATAATCTGAAGCCAGCCCTGTAAAACAGACATCCATTGAAAAGGGCATGCTAGTTCTTTTGCTTTTTTGTGTACTTGGCCTCCTGTGTCCCTAAACAGACCTCTTCTCAGCAGGGTTTGCTCAGCAAGTCACTTGTTGAGTCTTGCGGTCTACAGAGGGGGTGGGGAATGGCAGGGGCTGGCATAGGAATGAGAGGGGAGGAGGCAAGGTGAGGGGGGCAAGGTGAGGAGGGGGGCACTTAAAGGGGAGTTCAAGACCAGCCTGGGCAACATGGTGAGATCACCGCCCCTCACCGCCGCCATCTCTGGTCTCACTCTGGTCTCACACACATGCACAAATTAAATTTAATGTAAAAATTAAAAAATTGTTTTAAAATAAGTGAAATATTTACATGGATTATGTGTACATTCATTTTGTAGAACTATACATCCCATGTAACTGGGAACTCTTTACTCTTCTAACACAACATTTATTTAGCCACAAATAAAAGAAGACCAGTGATGTAGCCTGTACACAAAAAAGTAAGAAAACACTGGTTAGGCTGGGGCAGGGGTGGGGGGAAGAGATCTACAAAATTAAAATTTTATTGGGAAGAATCACTAATTAGAATCAGAACAATTACTGCTAAGTAGTTAAGAACAGAGCACAAGGAACCCAGCGAAGAAGCAGATATGATTCAGAGCAGAGCTCACAGAGCAGATGGTATCTGAGCCAAGACTGATAGAATAACATTAATAAGGGCCTTCACGGCCATTTATTATCACTTAACTGCAATGCATTTTGTATAAGTTATTTCTACTCTTCATATCAACCATGGAAAATAATACTTACTCTTCTCTTTTGAAGTTAAAGAAGTGGTAAGTGGTCTAAGAAGATAAATTAACATACCAACACCAAATAGCTCAAGTTCAGTGACTCAAGAGTGCCCGCGTCTCCCCAAGAGGTTGCTCAGCAGGCAGACGAGGTAGAGAGCCCTTCCAAGAAGTGACAGTGAGATGTGAAAGGTCTCAGTGTGTCTCTGAGAACAACAGAAACCAGTACGTAGACCAAGTGGGAAAAGCCACGGAAGAGGCAGGGATTTCCTCTTAAGAGAGCAAGAATAAACAGAGCAGGGCTGAGGGAAGCGATGGAAAACGGGCAGAATACCATGCATTTAGTGAGAAAAAAACAACTTTTACTTTAGAAAGGGGGAAAGAATGGTGGTGGTCTAGGTAAGCCTAGAAGCAGAGGAAAGGGCAGTGGAGAAAAAATAAACAAAATGTATGAGTCAGGGTTCTCCAGAGGGACAGAACCAACAAGATACACATATATGTATAAGGGAGTTTACGAGAGAGAATTGGTTCACACGGTTAGAAGGCAGTCCCACAATAGGCTGTCTGCCAGGTAGGGAAAGAGAGAAGCTAGTAGTGGCTCAGTCCAAGTCCAAAAGCCTCAAAACCAGGAAAGCCCGCAGTGCTTCAGTATGAGGCCGAGGGCCTGAGAGCCTTGGGGAAGCGGCTGATGCAAGTCCCAGAGTCCAAAGGCATAAGAACCTGGAGTCTCATGTCCAAGGGCAGGAAGAAGGGAAGCAAGTGTCCTGCACGGGAAGAAGAAAAAAAGAGAGCCAGAAGCTTCAGCTAGCAAGGTTATCCCACCTTCCTCTGACTGCTTTGTTCTATACAGTGCAGCGTGTGTACACCACTTTTGTGATATTATTCCTAATATCCATGGTAAGAAAGGGTGATGTTACTCCCAATAGCGCATGGGGGTGTACATTCCCTGTGATATTATTCCTAGTAGGCAGGGGCAGGGAAAGGATGACATTACTCCCAATATTGCAGAGGGTGTACTCCCCGCCTTGTGATATTGTTCCTAATATTTAGGGGATAGTGGGTGATATTACTCCCAATATCACAGGGGGTGTGCACCCCCCGTGGTATTCTTCCTAATATCCGGGGGGGGGGGGGAGAGGTTGATATTACTGTCAATGTCACAGGGGGTGTACATCCTCCCGTGTTATTGTTCCTAATATCTGGGGGGGAGAGGATATTACTGTCAATATCACAGGGGGTGTAGACTCCTTCGGTGATGTTGTTTCTAATATCTGGGGGGGAGACGATGATATCACTGTCAATATCGCAGGGGTGTACACCACCCGTGGTATTGTTCCTAATATTCAGGGGGGAGAGGAAATTACTGTCAATATCACAGTGGGTGTACACCTCTTCTGTGATATTGTTCCTAATATCCGGGGGGGAGAGGTTATTACTGTCAATATCGCAGGGAGTGTAAAACCCTTCTGTGATATTGCTCCTAATATCCGGCGGGGGGGAGAGGATATTACTCTCAATATTGCAGGGGGTGTACACCCCTTCTGTGATATTGTTCCTAATATCCAGGTGGGGAGAGGATCATATCACTTTCAATATCGCCAAATGTGTACATCCCCATTGTGATATTGTTCCTATATTTAGGGGATAGTGGATTATATTACTGTCAATATCGCAGGAGGTGTGCACCCCTCCCCCATGGTATTGTTCCTAATGTCCAGCAAGGGAGAAAACACTACTACTCCCAACATGGCAGGGGGTGTACACGTCCTATGCGATACTGTTCCTATATCCATGGGGGAAAAGGATATTGGGAACAATATTACAAACAATATCACAGGGGGGTGTACATGTCCTGCGATATGAGGAGTAATATAACCCTCTCCCCCTCTGGATATTACAAACTGTATCACAGAGGGGTGTAAACCCCCTGCGATGTGGAAAGTAATATCATCCTCTCCCCCACTGGATATTACAAACAATATCACAGACGGTGTACACATGAGGTGTTTACAATATTGGGAGTAATATCATATCCCCCAGTGGATATTATGAACAATATCACAGAGGGGTGTATACACACTCTGCCTTATAGGGAGTAATATACTCCTCTCCCACCCTGGATATTACAAACAATATCACAGAGGGTGTACACACAGGGTGTTTATGGTATTGGAAGTAGTATTATCTCCCCCATGGATATTACTAATAATATCGCAGGGGTGTGTACATCCCCTGTAATACAGGGAGTAATATCATCCTTTCCCAGCCTGGATATTACAAACAATATGGCAGGGGGCAGTACACCCTGGCGATATGGGTAGTAACATCATCTCCTCCCCGCATGGATATTACGAACAATATTCTAGGGGGTTGTACACCCCCTGCAATATGGGGAGTAACATCATCCTCTCCCCCACTAGATATTATAAACAATATCACAAGGGGAGTGTACACTTCCTGCGATAAAAGGAGAAATATCATTCTTTCCCCCCAGAGATATTATGAACAATATCGCAGGGAATTGTTCTCCCATGCTATATGGGGAGTAACATCTTCATCTTCCCCCTGGATATTATGAAAAATAATGCAGGGGAATGTAAATCCCCTGCGATATGGGGAGTAAAATCATTCTCTCTGGCCAGGCGCGGTGGCTTACACCTGTAATCCCAGCACTTTGGGAAGCCGAGGCGGGGGGATCACGAGATCAGGAGATCGAGACCATCCTGGCTAACATGGTGAAACCCCGTCTCTACTCAAAATACAAAAAAATTAGCCAGGCGCGGTGGCGGGCACCTGTAGTCCCAGCTACTAGGGAGACTGAGGCAGGAGAATGGTGTGAACCTGGGAGGCGGTGCTTGCAGTGTGCCCAGATCAGGCCACTACACTCCAACCCGGGTAACAGAGCGAGGCTCTGTCTCAAAAAAAAAAATCAAATCATTCTCTCCCTCCCTGGATATTATGGACAATATCACAGGGGGGTGTACAACGAGTTTCTAGAATATATTTGAGGAGGCTGATGGGCGGTGTGTGCGTGCTTCATGGCCTTATTCAATTAAACACTCTGCTCTCAATTTATTGCTAAATCCTCATTGAGCCCTTAGATTTCATAACGGTTGTCGCGAGATTTTTCTGGATGTAGAAAACGTTTCCATTTCTTGCCACCTCATGGGCTACACCTTGACCTAACGTTTTTATGTAGATACTTGTGCTTACTCTGTGGCCTTTCCAGGGTTTGCTGAAGATGGAGGTATTTAGGCTGGGCAAGAGGTGGTGAGATAAATTGGGGTTTATCGATTATAGAACAGGCTCCTTTAGAGGGATATAAAGCATGGCCAAGTCCTTTGAGTTTTAAGCTGTTGCTTGTAGTGTTCTGGCGAACAGTTTTGTTGATCTAACTGTTCGAGTTTAGGGTTAAGCATAGCGGGGTATCTACTCCCAGTTTGGATCTTAACTATTTTGTCTTCAGAATATTAAAGGCACCTTCGTAGTTATTTCAGCTGGGGTTATTTAGAACTTTTTTACAACTTATTTAGAAACTTTCAGGTTTCTAAATATATGAATGAACCATAATATAAGCCTCGGCCAATACAATGCCGGTTAGGCCTCCTACTGTAAAAAGGAAAATAAATCCCCGGGCTCACAGCATTGCGGGGGATCATTTGATATTACCGCTGTGAAGTGTAGCTAGCTAGTCAGCTAAAAACTTTGACGCTAGTAGGAATAGCAATAATTATAATAGCAGAGGTGAAGCAGGCTCATGTATCCACATCTATCCCTACCATAAATATACGGTGGGCCCATACAATAAACCGTAAGAACCCAACTGATCCTATAGCTCACACTAGGCCCATATACCTGAATGGTTCTTTTTTTTCCAGAATAGTATGTTACGACGTGGGAAATTATCCCAAAGCCCAGTGGGATGAGGATGTAGACTTCAGAGTGACTAAAGAATCTGAATAAATGCTGATATAAGATAGGATCACCTCCGCCAGCCAGGTAGAAAAAAGTAGTATTAAGATTGCGGTCAGTTAACAGTATAGTGATGCCGGCGGCTAGGACTCAGAGACAAAGGAGTAGAAGAACTGCTGTAATTAGGACTAATCAGATGAAGAGGGGTGTGTGATATTGGGACATGGCTGGGGGTTTTATATTAACAATTGTGGTAATAAAGTTAATAGCCCCTGAAGTAGAAGAAACACCTGCCACGTGGAGTGAAAAGATAGTGAAATCTACAGAGGCGTCTGCATGTGTTAGGTTTCCTGCTAAGGGAGGACTGTTCAGCCGGTTCCAGTGCCGGCTTCTACTATAGTGGATGTAAGTAATAATAGGAAGGAGGGTGGGAGGAGTCAGAAGCTCATATTATTTATGCAGAGAAATGCTATATCTGGGGCACCAATTATCAGGGGGACTAAGCAGTTGCCAAGACCTCCAATTATAGTATTACTATAAAGAAAATTATGACAAATGCATAGGCTATAACAATGACATAAATTTGATCATCTAGTAGAGTTCAGCTCGAATAAGGCTTAAAGCTGTACTGACTATCCCTGCTCATGTGCCAAATAATAAATATAATGTCCCGATATCTTTATGGTTGGTTGAGAATAGTCAACTGTCAGCCAACATAAATGAAGTGAGAAAAAAGGGTAAAATGACTGAGTAGGGCATTAGACTGTACATCTAAAAACAGAGGTCAAGTCCTGTTTTTACCAGTCCCGAGGTGATTTTCATGTTGAATTGTAAATTCAAAGAAGCAGCTTCAATCCTGCTTCTCTCACCTTTTTTCCCCCAGCAGCTGGAGAAGTAGATTCAAATCAGTTGACTAGGGAGTTTAGCTGTTAAGTTTTCGTGGGTTTAAGTCTCATCAATTTAGTAAGGACTTAGCTTACTTAAAGTGATTGATCTGTATTCAATTGACCAAGGGTGATCTGTATCTGAGAAAGTACATTTCAGGGCCACCATACAACAGCCGTTCAAAAAGGCCTCCAATATGGGATAGTCTTATTTATTATCTCAGAAATATTTCTCTTTGCTGGATTCTTTTGAGCATTCTACCATTCTAGCCTAGCCCCTACTCCAGAATTAGTAGGACATTGACCCCCAACAGGTATTTCTCCCCTTGACCCCCTGGAAGTACCTCTTCTGAATCCATCTGTATTACTTGCATCAGGAGTTTCAATTACTTGAGCCCATCACAGCCTAACAAAAATTAATCAAAAACATACAATCCAAGCACTACTTATTACAATTATATTAGGTATTTACTTCACCCTCCTACAAGTCTCAGAATACTTCAAAGCTACCTTTGCTATTTCTGATGGTATTTATGGCTCTACATTTTTTATAGCTACAGGCTTTCACAGACTTCACGTCATTATTGGATCAACATTCCTCTGCCTTCTCCGCCAATTAAAATACCACTTTACATCTAGTCATCACTTTGCCTTTGAAGCCGCTGCCTGATATCGACACTTTGTAGATGTAGTATGACTATTCTTGTATGTTTCTATTTATTGATGAGGATCTTACTCTTTTAGTATAAATAGTACCATGATTTCCAAAGTTTCGATAGCATCCGAAAAACAGTAATTCACCTAACATTAACTCTAGTAATCAACATCCTATTAGCCCTGTTACTAATAATTATTACATTTTGGCTTCCACAACTTAATATATATATATATATAGAGAGAAAAATATATATATATGTATAAAATAAATATATATAGAAAAATCTAGCCCTTATGAATGCAGATTTGACCCTCTATCCTCTGCCCACATTCCCTTCTCCATAAAATTATTTCTAGTAGCCATCACATTTCCCCTATTTGAGTTAGAACTCACCCTACTACTACCCTTACTGTGAGCCCTTCAAATAAACTGATACTAATAATCTCTGCGATATGTGTAGTGACTTCATACTTCACCCCCCCGATATTACAGCCAATATCAGAGTGGAGTGTGCACCCTCTGCAATATGGGAAGTGATATCATCGTCTCCCCACTGGATGTTATGGACAATATCACAGGAGGTTTACTTTCTCTGCGATATGGGGAATAATATCCTCCTGTCCCCGCCTGGATGTTAGAGATATTTACAGGGGGGTGTCCACCCCCTGCAATATGGGGAGTAGTAATATCCTCTCCTGCCCTGGATGTTATGGACAATATATAGGGAGATGTACAATCCCTTCGATATGGGGAGTAATATCATCCTCTTCCCCCTAAACGTTACGAACAGTATCACAGGGGGGTGTACAGCCCCTGCGATATCTGGAGTAGTATCATCCCCTTCTTCCCTAAATGTTACAGAAACTATCACAGGGGTGTGTACACCTTCTGAAACATGGGAATAATATTCTCTTCCCCTCTGGATGTTATGGACAACATTACAGTCGTGTGCACCCTCTATGATATGCGGAGTAATATCATCCTCTCCCCCACGGATGTAAGTGACAATACCACAAACGGGTTTACATCCCCCGTGATATGGGGAGTAATATAATCCTCTTTCCCACTGGATATTAACAATATCACACGGGGATGTACAACCCCTGTGATATTCAGAATATCTTCGAATCCACTGAAAATTATAAACAATATCACCAGTGTACACTCCCTGTGATACTGGAAGTAATATCATCCTCTAATCCCTTAAAAATTATGAACAGTATCACAGGGGAGTGTATACTTCCTACTATATTGGGAGTAATATCATTCTGTCCTCTTCTAAATATTATGAACAATATTACAGAGGATGTAACACTCCCTGCGATATGTGGAGTAATATCATCCTCTCCTCCCCTAAATGTTGTGAACAATATCACAGGAGGTTGTACACAACCTGCGATATTGTTTGTAGTATCCAGAGGGAAAGAGGATGCTATTACTCCCCATATCACAGGGGGTGTACACCCCCACTGTGATATATTCAATAACATCCAGAAGTAATATTACTGACAAAATTGCAGGGGGTGTAAACCCCACCTGTGATACCGTTCCTAATATCCCGGGGAAGAGAGGATGATGTTATTCCCAATATTGCAGGGGGTGTACACCCACCCTATGATATTGTTCTTAATATCCAGGAGGGGAGACAATGGTATTACTCACAGTATCAAAGAGGTTGTACAGCCCCCCTGTGATAGCTTCTAATATCCAGGGGGTGTACACACCCCTTGTGATATTGTTCCAATATGTAGGGGGAAGGACAATGATATTACTGTCTGTATCACAGGGGGTGTACAACAAGCCCCCCCGGGATATCATTCCTAATATCCATGGGAAGAAAGAATATTACAATATCACAGAAGTTGTACACCCCCTCTGTGATATTGTTCCTAATATCAAAGACGGAAGGGTATGATGTTCTTCCCAAAATCACAGGGAGTGTACACATACCCTGTGCTATTTTTCCTAATATCGAGAGTGAGAGACAATGATACTTCCAATATCGTAAGGAGTGTACACTCTCCCCATGATACCAGGTGGGGAAATGTTGATATTACTCCAAATATCGCAGTGGGTGTACACACGTTTTGCGATATTGTTTCTAATATCAAGTGGGGGGGAAGGATTGTATTACTCCCAACATATTACACCCCACACTCCATTATACTGTTCTTAATATCCAGATTTGGAGAGGATGATATTACTCCCAAAATCTCAGGAGGTGTAGACCCCTTCTGTGACACTGTTTCTTATATACAGGGGAAGACTAGATGATATTACTCCCAACAGTGCAGGGTGTTACATGCCATCCCCCATGATATTGTCTCTAATATCAAGTTGGGGAGAGGGTGATATTGCTCCAAATAGTGCAAAGGGTGCACACCAGCCCTGTGATATTATTCCTAGTATCCAGAGGAGGAGAGAATGGTATTATTTTTAATATCACAGAGGGTGCAAACCCCCCTTGTGATACCGCTCCTAACATCCAAGGGGTAGAGGATGAAATTACTCCCAATATCACAGTGGGTATACACCCCCTCCCGTGGTATTGTTCCTAATATCCAGGGGGTATAGGATGATAGTACTATAAATATCACAAGGGGTGTACACCCCTTCTGATATTGTTACTAATATCCGTGGGGGGAGTCGATGATATTACTTCCAATATCACAGGGCATGTATACCCCCCTTGTGGTATTGTTCCTAATATCCTGGGAGGAGACTACAATATTACTGGCAATATCGCAGGGGGTGTGCATTCCCGTGATATTGTTCCTAATGTCCAGCAAGGGAGAAAATATTACTCCCAATATGGTGGGGGTGTACACTTCCCATGCAATATCGTTCCTAATATCCATGGGGGAAAAGGATGATATTACTCTAAATGTCACAGGAGGTGTAAACTGCCCCTGTGATATTGTTCTCAATATCCATGGGGGGAGAGAATGATATTACTCCCAATATCACAGGTGGTGTACACCCCTCCTGTTATATTATTTCTAATATCCAGGTTGGGAGAGAATAATATTACAGGTAAAATAGCAGGGGGTGTACACTCCGCCTATGATATTGTTCCTAATATTCTGGGGAAGAGTGGACAATATTACTCCCAATATCGCAGGATGTGTACACCCCCTTTGTGATATTGTTCCTAATATCCATAGGCGGAGAGGGTGATACTACTCCCAATAGTGCAGAAAAGGTACAGCCCCTCTGTGATATCATTCCCAATATCCAGAGGGGACAGGATGATATTACTCCCAATACCACAGAGGGCATACACCCCCTCCCCATGATATTGTTCGTAATACCCAGGGGGTAGAGGATGATATTACTCCCAATATCGCAGTGGGTGTACACCCACCCTGTGATATTGTTCTTAATATCCATGTGGAAAGGGTATAAAGTTACTCCCAATATCACAGGGGGTGTACAACCCCCTTGTGATATTGTTCCTAATATTCGGGGAAGAGACAATGATATAGCTGTCCATATTGCAGGTGGTGTACAACCCCCTGGGAATTTGTTCCTAATATTCAGTGGGGAAGATGATATTAATTAAAATGTCACAGGGGGTATATAACCCCTTTGTGATATTATTCCTAATATCCAGGGAAATAAAGAATATTATTCCCAATATCACAGGGGATGTATACCCCTCTCTGATACTGTTTCTAATATCCCTGGGGGGAGTCTATAATATTACTGGCAATATCATAAGGAGTGTATACCCCCCGTTATATTGTTCCTTATGTCCAGCAAGGGAGAAAATATTAATCCCAATATGGAACAGGGTGCACACCCATGAGGTATTGTTCCTAATATCCAGGGAGGGAAAGGATGATATTACTCCCAATGTTGCAGTGGTGTATAACCCCCTGTGATATTGTTCCTAATATCTAGGTGGGGAAAGTACAGTATTACTCCCAATATAGCAGGGGTTGTACACCGCCTTTGTGATATTGTTCTAAATATCCATGGGGAAAGAAAATGATAGTACTCCCCAATATCGCAGGTGGTGTACAACCCCTTGTGATACTGTTTCTAATATCCATATTGGGGGAGGATATTACTCCCAATATTGCACGTGTTGCACAGACCCCCTTTGATATTGTTTGTACTATGCAGGGTGTGGGGGGAGAGGATGATATTGGGAGTAATATCACCCTCTCTTCCCAGATATTAAGAGCAATATTCAGGGTGGTCAACACCTCCTGCAATATTGAGTATAATATCCTCTCCCAACCTGGATATTAGGAACAATATCACAGGGGCATGTACACTCCCTTCCTTTCACCATATACAAAAATCAGCTCAAGATGGATGAAGGACTTATGTAAGACCCAAAACTATATAAACCCTAGAAGAAAACTTAGGAAATATCATTCTGGACATAGACGCTGGCAAAGATTTCGCGATGAAGATTCCAAAAGCAATTGCAACAAGAAGAATTGATGAGTGGGACCTAATGAAACTAAAGAGCTTCAGCACAGCAAAAGAAACTATCAACAGAGAACACCCTACAGAACAGAAGAAAATATTTTCAAATTACATATCTGAAAAAGGTCTAATACTCAGCATGTATAAAGAATCAATAAGCAAAAAACAAACCCACTACAAATAGGCAAAGAACATGAACCCCCACATTCACCATCCTGAAGTCCATGTGCAACTTCTTTCTGGATGCTGGACAAGGACTTGGGTACAAAGAGGGCACTGAACGGGTTAACACTTAAGCCGTCTGTGGATTCTTTTTTCAAAAGACAACGTATGTGTGGCAAACAACCATATGAAAAAATACTCAACATCACTAATCATCAGAAAATCAGAACCATGAGATACCATATCACACCGGTCAGAATGGCTATTATTAAAAAATCAAAACATAACAGACAGTGCTGAGTTTGTGGAAAAAAGGGAATGCTTATACACTGCTGGTGGTGATATAGAAAGGAAACAGGGAAATACTGGGTAGAAGAGAGTGGTTCCCTGGCAAAGCCCTGCCCACAAGCCTGGAAACCCACGGCACTAAATGGGAACAGGCATTCCTGCTTTTGTACCCAAAAGTTGTCTTTCAGCTCACCATGCACCCCCTGTCCTGTACCCATATATGCCCCAGACCCCAGGCTCCAGAAGCAGACAAGCACATGAGGAGATGAACAGAAGAGCAGAATTGCAGAATGATGTGGCAGAAAGAAGAGAAGGAGCATCTGAATGCCAAGAGGAGTTTGGCTGGCAGTGGTTGGAGAGATCAGCCTCTGGATGGCAAAGCTCCCGGGGAAGATCATCTTCCCATTCCATCCCCTTTCCAGCTCCCCATCCATCCCATTGAGTGCCACCTCTACCACTTAATAAAACCCCCACATTCACCATCCTCAAGTCTGTGTGCAACTTAATTCTTTCTGGATGCTGGACAAGGAACTGGGTACCAAGAGGACACTGAACAGGTTAACACTTAAGCCGTCTGTGGATGGCAAAGCTAAAAAAGTGCACTGTAACACATGCACACTTGGGCTGTGGGAGTCACAGGCACCCACCCCTAGACAGTACCATGGCCACTTGCCCTGCCTATTGCACCTGCCTGTCTGCATGCTCCCCTGCCCAGTAAGGGGTTTGACAGCACACACAGTGGCCAGAGAAGCCACATCCCTGTTGCACATCCTGCCAAGGGGAGTCAGGGAACTCTCCAGTTACATCAGGAATGTAAATTTGTTCAGCCACTGTGGAAAGCAGTTTGGAGATTTCTGAAATAACTTAAAACAGAACTACCATTCAACCCAGCAACCCCATTACTGGGTATATACCCAAAGGAATATAAATCATTCTGTCATAAACATATGCACGCATATTTTCATTATAACACTATTCACAATAGCAAAGACACGGAATCAACTTAGATGCTTGTTAACAGAAGACTGGATTAAAAAAATGCAGCGTACACACACCATGGAATACTACACACCTATAAAATAGGATGAAATAATGTCTTTTGCAGCGACATGAATGGAGCTGGATACCATTATTCTAAGTGAATTAATGCAGGAACAGAAAACCGAACAAACACAGCATGTTCTCACTTATAAGTGGGGGCTAAACATTGAGTCCACATGGACACAAAGAAGGGAACAATAGACACAAGGTCTACTGTGGGTGGAGGGTGGGGGGGGAGAGTGGGGATCAAAAAACTCCCTATTAGATACTACGCTCACTATCTGGATGACTACATAATCTGTACACCAAATCCCACTGACACACATTTTACCCATATAATAAACCTCCACATGTACCCACTGAACCTAAAATAAATGTTGGAAGGAAATAAAGTTACAACCAACTCTTGTACTATTGTGAGGAAACAATCATATGTGTTGACAAAAAATCAACTACTAATAGATTTATAATAGTATATATGTAGCAGAAAAATATCAGATATAACTTATATACCCAAAAGTATGACTTAAAAACAGCATGACAATCTTTATGATGGGATATTGTGCAACTACTAGAAGCACATTTTCGGAGATTACTTATTAACATATGATAATGACTACATTGAGTGGTTTTTAGAAGCATGAATTGAAACCATGTATAAGCATGACTTTATTGAACTTATATATAACATTACACACACATTTACATAATTATAAAATAAGTATGCTCATGTTCATAATATTTATTTATTTATATTCATATGTAAGGTCAATAGGAAGTAATCTCTGTATCTGAGTTATTATTTCATAAATAATTTATGCTTGTTCTGTGAAAATAAAAACACTGCTATGGATCTTCCAAGTATCCTGAAAGGATACAGTTTATAATTAAACAATAACAATTTTAGAAATAATTATTTTAAATAAGGCTATGATAAATCTGGTTTCATTGCACACTTTAACTTTGCAACATTTCATGAAGCATCCCTTGATCACGACTCTCATATTCAGGAGTTTTTTGAGATCAAATGGGACAATCAGTATGAATCTATTTTTTAGACATGCAAATGGATAACTTTAAATAGCAGTAGCGATATAATCAGAGTGCACAGTTGCTCTGGGACAAAACTTGGAAATGAGCATATTTTTAGATTCTTAATGTTTTACACACTTTAGCATTCCACAGCACCATTACATACTCATTTTTCTACTAGAATACCTTGGTAGAAATTCACAGTAGAGATCAGGCTTGTCCTTCATACATTAACTAATCAAGTAGAAAAGTGCAAATGAGAACACAGTGCCAAAAATAGGCACCACATGGAAAAAAGCATGGAACTTCCAGGAAGCCATTTTTGTAGCTTTATAGCCCAATTATATTTTTCCTAATGTATTGCACACAAAACTTGGGGGAAAAAAAAAGAGGCAGAGAGAAAACAGGTTATATCAGCCCTATCTCACAATCCACAAGTTCATCCTATTAGAGGATTAACTATGTAAAACAAATTTTATCTGCTGAATGTCCTATTTAGTTAATCACAAAACTGTACAAGAACACACTTGTGACTTATTTAGCAGCTTGTTTGTTCGCTTTCCACTGGCTTCACAAATGTCCTTTGGAAAGAGAAAGTACATTTGGAACCCTGTACACCTTTTCTTTCTCCAGTACCCTCTTGTCACTTCCATCACTAAGGTGACAGAAGCAACTAGGGGCAATGCATTTTTAGCACACCTTGGTCAGAGGTATCCTCCAGGAGAAGGATCAGACCTGCTTGAAAGCATGTCGTTGGAATTGGGAGGCTTCTAGTAGCTATAACATAAGCACTGATGTTTACTGTTCCCTGCCCTCCACTTTGATCACTCTGGGAAACGTTTTTTTTAAAAAATCAATTGTATTGAAACATAATTTACATAAAATAAATACTATTTTAAAGTGCACAGTTTGCTGAGTTTTGCCAGATGTAACCATCCAGGTGAATAAAATTGATTAAACTGATCTTTCAAATAATAAATTAACCTTGCAATCTTCCTAGAAATTTAATTTGTTCACAGTTTATTATCCATTCTATGTACTGCTACATTCAATTGGTTATTATGTTTTAAGGACTTTTGAGTCTATGTTTATGAGGGATAAACGTCAAAGTTGTATAATGCCTTTGTCTTGATTTGGAATCAGGGCAATACTGGGTTCATAAAATAAGATAGGAAGTGTCCCTTTAAATTTTCTTTTATTTTTATTTTTATTTTTGAGATGGAGATTCACTCTTGTTGCCCAGGCTGGAGTGCAATGGTGCAATTTCGGCTCTCCGCAACCTCTGCCTCCCAGATTCAAGCTATTCTCCTGCCTCTGTCTCCCGAGGAGCTGGGATTACAGGCAAGCACCACCATGCCCTGCTAATTTTGTACTTTTAGTAGAGACGGGGGTTTCTCCATGCTGGTCAGGTTGGTCTCAAACTCCTGACCCCAGGTGATCTGCCCGTCTTGGCCTCCCAAAGTGCTGGGATTACAGGTGTGAGCCACTGTGCCCAGCCCTTAAATTCTATTTCTTAAAAAGAGTCCGTTCAAGATTGATATTATAGATACTCCTCAACTTACAATGGTCTTATGTCTTAACGAACTCATCCTAAATTGAAAATATTGTAAGTCTAAAATGCATTTAATATATTTAACCTACTGAATATCATGACTTAGCCTCTCCTACCTTAAACTTGCTCAGAACACTTACATTATCCTACAATTGGGCAAAATCATCTACCACAAGGCCCATTTTAAAATATTGAGTATCTCATGAAATTTATTGAAAACTATACTGATAGTGAAAAACTGGTCATATTGATGCTCATCATTAATGTACACAGATGAAAGCACCATTATCAAGTCAGAAGAGCACAAGTCAAACCACCATAAGTTGAGGACTCTCTGTACTTTCTTAAATGTTTGATAGAATTCACCTAAGAAACCATGTAGCCTGTAATTATAGAAATCTTTTTAAATTAAAAAAAATTCTTCAATACATAGAGAAGCTATTACTTTTTCTATTTCATTTTGCATCAGTTTTAAGAATTAGTTTTACAAATAATTTCCCATGTTATTTTATTTGTCAAATGTATTGGCCTAAGGTTTTCATAATTATATTGATGTCTGTAGGTTCTGTAGTTACATCCTCTATTTAATTCCCATTGTCTACATAATGTAGCTTCTCTAATTTTTTTTGAGATAAATCTTGCTAGCCATTGTTTATTTAAAATTTTTTTTTTCAAAGAACCAATTTGTGGGTATATTAATTAGCTCCAGCTTTTGTTATTTGCTGTGTTGTTGGTTTACATTTTTATCTTTATCATCTTCCTTCTTCTTAATTTGGATATACTTTGCTCATTTTTTTAGCCTCTTAGAACCTAAAGGTCATTGATTGAAGCCTTTTATTTTCAATATATTACATCTATAAATGTAGCTTTAAGAAATGATTTATCTGCATTCCACATTTTATTAAGTTTTTAAAAATTTTTCTTTCAGTTTAAACTATTTTTTTTGTGTGTGAAACTTTTCTTGCCCAATGGGTTTTTCTGAAGTATTTTGTTTAATGTTCAAATGTTGGGGTGTTATTGTATATATCCTACTGTTGTCCATCTCTGGTTCATGATACAATGCATGTTCTCCATTGCACTTACATAACATGTCTCCATGTCTCTGGTGAATTCCTCAGTCTTTCTAAAATGCTTTTGAAGAATACTGGCAGTTATTTTGTAGAATGTCTCTCCTCAATTTCAGTTAGTCTGATGTTTTCTCACGATTAGGACCAAAGTTATACATTTTGTCTAAGAATACCATAGAATTGATGTTTTGTCCTACTCAGTGCATCATATAAGAAGTTACATGAAGTTCATTTATCTTATTATTAGTAATGTTAACTTTGATCACTTGGCTAAGTTGACATCTCCACTTTGAAGTTACTATTCTATAATTATCTTGTGGGAAGATACTTTCATATTATGCAAATATGTTCTTTCCCAACATATATTCACCACTAATCTTAGCATCCCTCCAAGGTTCTTTCTTGCAACAATTATTACTATGATATTTGCAAAGTGATGATTCTTATATTTTATGTCTCCTACATTTAATGAAATCTTACTGTAATAAAATACTGCCCATTCTCAACCTTTGGTTATTATTTATGTCAATATGGATTTTTTTTTTTTTTTTTGAGATGGAGTCTTGCTTTGTCATCCAGGCTGGTGTGCAATGGTGCGATTTCTGCTCACTGCACTTCCACCTTCCGGGATTCAAGCCATTCTCCTGCCTCAGCCTCCCGAGTAGCTGGGACTACGGGCATGTGCCACCATGCCCGGCTAATTTTTGTATTTTTAGTAGAGGCAGGGATTCACCACATTGGTCAGGCTGGTCTTAAACTCCTGACCTCAAGTGGTCTGCCTGCCTCAGCCTCCCAAAGTTCTGGGAATACAGGCATGAGCCACCGCACCCGGCCTGGATTAATCGAAAATTTTCTTCTGTAGATTGTAATATATTACTATTGTTATTTATTTTATTGCCCCAATTTTCTCAAATTTGTCTATGGAAGTTTATTCAAAGTGGATTCTGTCTCCTTTTCACATTTTCCCCATTTTGTGAGCATTTCCTTACTTTCTAACATGACAAAATATTTCAAACTAATCTTGTATTTTCCCTGCCCAATCCTGATATCAAATATGTCCCCAAGGAGCCTTGTTTCCTTTAACTGGAGAATGGTGTTCTCATTGTTACTGGGATGATGTTGTTTCTAGGCCCTTTTGTTAGAGGAGCTAGAAAATGTATGTATGTATACTCACACATTTATACACATCTGTACTTATTTATACAATTATCTATCTGTACATATACTAAAAACAATGATTTCATAAAACTTTTGACCCCAATCCAACACTAGATAAAGACTATATAGGCCCATTTATTTTCAAATCAGCACATAAACATAGAAGGATTATTAACAATATAAGCTGTAGCTTATGTTAAATGTTGATTGGAACAGACAATAAATTATGGAGAACTTCAGAGGACACTAAGTTTGGATGGGATCTTGGAAGTTGTACAGGTCAATGCCACTCCATCTATTGGCTGAGTTTCACAGGTTAATACATGAACAACAACAAAAATAACCTAGATCAGAAGTTAAAGATCATTTTATTGACTATCTGCCGTGTCTGTGCCATTGCAATGTACTAGGTGCACTTACCAGTCCTCTACTTACAAACTGCTTTTCACAAAATATGAAACTCCAGGCAAAGATTCAGACATATGATGTTTGTTTTTAAAATCTTTCTACAGCCTTGTATCCTTTTTCCTTTCCTTCCTTTTACCCTTTTTAAAATGTGTTATGAGTTTTATCTTAGACTAACATCTGTAATGTTGCTATACGCCAGTATTCAATTGCTGTGTTTGATGAACATAAAATGGTGTAAAACTTCAATTAGTGTACTTTTTAAATAAAGTATCTATGAATGTATCCAGCAAAATGTTTATGATTTGAGTATTCACAAAATAGTAGTTTTCTCTGTATCTAACAATAATGTGAAAACCCAAAATGAATATAAAATATTAGCTAATAATAGATTTCAAAGTATTCTATAAATATGAAAAATATGATATATTATTACTTTCATATATGTAAAACATTAATAATTTTTGTCAACATAAACATCATCTTTACACCTAAACTTGTATTAATTCAATTAAGAGTTAATATAGTATCCTAAAGTCATCAAATATTCAAAAATAGGATGTATTCGGACTTGGAATATACATAAAATTAACTATTTTCAGCTGAGCACAGTGGCTCATGCCTGTAATTCCAGCACTTTGGGAGGCCAAGGTAGGCAGATTGCTTGAGATCAGGAGTTTCAGACCAGCCTGGCCAACATGGTGAAACCCCATCTCTACCAAAAATAGAAGTTAGCCAGGCATGGTGGAACCTGCCTGTAATCCCAACTACTCTGAAGGCTGAGGCAGGAGAATCACTTGAACCCAGGAGGCAGAGGTTGCAGTGAGCCAAGATTGCGCCACTGCACTCCAGCCTGGGTGAGAGAATGACACTCTGTATCAAAATAATAATAATAATAATAATAGTAATAATAATAATAACTATTTTCTGTGAGTCCCAAGATAAAATAGCATTACAGAATACATAATAATCCTGTTTGCTTTTCTTGGTTTTATTTTTTCATTTAGTTTTGTTCACCTTGACCAGTGGGCTGGTGGTTCTTAGGTGCACCAAAGTTTTCATTTTTCAGTTCAAGATTTTAAAACCTTAATGTGGTAATTTCCCTAATTTTTTTTGACAATTACGTCCCAGGTTGCAAGTTAAAATAAAATTCCCATTTTACTAAAGTCCTTGGTTTATTAATGATTTTATAATGACTTAATATATAATTTAATGAGTAATGAGGGGTACTACATTTCAGAAATCAACACTGAAGAACTTATTCATGGAACCAAACACCACCTGTTTCTCAAACACCTATTAAAATAAAAATACATATAAATAATTTTTAAAAATAAACACTAAAAATAAAGTGAAAATGAAAAAATATATATCCAGGTTTAAAAAAAACTACTTCAGTTAAACAATAAATACTTTTTGGGGGGACTCAACTCTACTACAAAATTATTTGTTGTTTATTACAATCAATAATACAGGTAAAAGAATAAGTTTTTAAAAATGGAAAAATTGTAAAAAATAAAACGATATTAACAAATATTGGTATACTGGTGAAGGCCGGGCTCGGTGGCTGCTTTCCAAAGTGGTTACACCAGTCGGGTATGGTGGCACACACCTGTAATCTCAGCACTTCTGGAAGCTGAAGCAGGCAGATCACTTGAGCTCAGGAGTTTGACACAAACCTGGGCTACATCACAAAACCCCATTTCTACCAAAAACTGTAAAAATCAGCTGCACATGATAGCATGCACCTGTAAGTCCCAGCTACTTAGGAGGCTGAGGTGAGAGGATCACTTGTGCCTGGAAGGTCACAGCTGCACTGGCCATGTTCATGTCACTGCACTCCAGCCTGGGCAACAGAGCAAGATTTTGTCTCAAAAAAAAAAAATGTTGGTGACAATTGGAATAATTGGAACTCAGATACATTACTGGTGGGAACATAAAATGGTGTAATCAATTTGAGTGTTTTCTTGGCATTTGATGTTTTTAAAAAATCAAGACATTGTTTCCCTATGTTGCCCAGGCTTGTCCTGAACTCCCGGGCTAAGAAAATCCTCCAAACTCAGCATCTCAAATACCTGAGATTAAAAGTGTGAGCCACTGTGCCTGACCAGTGTAACCACTTTGAAAAACAATGTGGCAGTTTCTCAAAGACTAAATGTATAGTAATCACATAATGCAACAATTTCACTCCTGAGTGTAAATCCAAGAGAAATAAAAATATATGTTCACTCTAAAGCTTACGTACGAGAGTTCATAGCAGCCTGACTCATGATGGTGAATACGCAAAAACAACACAAATGTCCATCAACTAATGAATGGATAAACATAAACTATTACTCAGCTATAAAAGGAAAGAAATCCTGATACACACTATAACATGAAAGAAATTTAAAAACATTCTGCTAAGAGAAAAAAAAAGCAAACTACAAAAGATCACACATTGTACAATTCTATTTCTATAAAAGGTCCAGACTAGGCAAAACTACAATGACAGAAAATAAATCAGTGGTTGCCTATGAACATGGGGGACGTAGGAGGTAGTGGCTAAGAGGTGAGGGTTTCTCACTCATAAGTGGGTAACTCATAAGTGGGTAATCACTTCTAAGAAAGACTGTAGTGATGGATGCACAGCTCCTTGAATATTCTAAAAACCACTCAATTGTATACTTTCTTTTTTTCTTTAGTTATTTAGAGACAGGGTCTCCTTTTGTCACCCATGCTGTAGTGCAGTGGTGCCATCTGGTCTCACTGCAACCTACGGCTTCTAGGCTCAAGTGATCTTCCAGTCTCATGTCCCCAAGTAGTTGGGAATACAGGCATGAGCCACCACACCCAGCTAATTTTTGTATTTTTGCTAGAGATGCTGTTTTGCCATGTTGCCCAGCCTAGTCGCAAACTCCTGAACTCAAGTGATCCACCTGCCTCAGCTGCCCAAAGTCTTAGCGTTATAGGAATTAGCCACTGTGCCCGGCCTGAATTGCGTACTTTGATAAATGAATTGCATGATATGTTAATCATATTTCAATAACGTTATTATTTAAAAAATGGCTGGGCGTGGCATGGTGACTCACGCCTCTGATCTCAGCACACTGGGAGGCCAAGGTGGGTGGATTGCCTGATTTCGGGAGTTCGAGACCAGTCTGGCCAACATACTGAAACCCTGTCTCTACTAAAAATACAAAAATATTAGCTGAGAGTGGTGACATGTTCCTGTAATTCCAGCTAGTCAGGAGGCTGAGGCAGGGGAGTTGCTTGAACCAGGGAGGTGGAGGTTGCAGTCAGCCGAGATCACGCCACTGCATTCCAGCCTGTGTGACAGAGCAAGAGTCCGTCTCCAAAAGAAAGAAAGAAAAAGAAAATGGGCATTGAACACAGGTGGCTCCACCTACGTATAATCCAAGCACTTTGGGAAGCTGAGGCAGAATGATCACTTGAGGCCAGGAGTCTGAAAATATCCTGAGCAACACAGCAAGATCCCGTCTGTACAATAAAAAATAAAGAAGTTAGCTGGGCATAGGGGCAAATGTATGTAGTCCCAGCTACTTGGGAGGCTGAGGTTGGAGGACTGTTTGAGTCCGGGGTTTCAGGCTGCAGTGAACCATGATCATGCCACCGCACTGCAGCCTGGGTGACAGAACAAGACCCTGTCTCTAGAAGGAAAAAAAAAGAAATCCAAGTTTTTAACACCTTCTGAGAGTAATCAACATTCAGGAGGAACAGAGAAGAACAAAAGACCACTGAATGGTTGAGGGTGGGTTGCTGGTGAGGTTCAGTGGCCAGCTGAGTAGTATCTGAAAAATCCGTTAGTAAAATTATGGCACTAGGGGTGAGTTATGCGGTCGAATGATGAATACTAAATCCAGTACAAACACCCATGGTCTTTCTTTACATGAATTC